>NC_000009.12:105038733-105190248 GCF_000001405.40 Homo sapiens | reverse complement strand
GTCACCATCTTTGCTGCTTGGGCTACTTAGCTGTTCCAGTCCTGGCTTTGGCGAGTCCAGGCTGACCGGGGATGGAAGTAGTCCCCCAGCACAGCACAGCTGCTCTACGAAAATGTGGCCAGACTGCTTTTTAAAGCAGGTTCCTGTTCCCATTCCTCCTCACTGGGCAGGACCTCACAACCAGGGTCTCCAGCCACTCTCGCCAGTGTTCTTCGGCTGACAGAGATTTGAAACCTCCCTGGGATAGAGCTCCCAGAGAGGGACCGGGCCACCATCTTTGCTGCTGGGCAACTTAGCCATTCTAGCCTTTGGAGAGTCCAAGCCAACCCAGGACGGAAGCGGTCCCCCAGCATAGCACAACGGCTTTACATAAACGTGGCTCAACAATTTTTTAAGTGGGTCCCTGAACCTGTTTCTCCTCACTGGATGGGACCTCCCAGATGGGGTCACCAGCCACCTCCTACAGGTATGTTCAGGCCAGCAACAGATTCGTACCTCTCTGGCACAGAGTTCCCAGAGGGAGAGAAAGGCTGCTGTCTTTGCTGTTTTATAGCCTTCACTGTTGATACCTTCAGGTTCTAGAAAATCCAAGGTGACTAGGGAATGGAGCAGGCCCTCAGCATACTGCAGCAGCCCTACGGAAAAGTTGCCATACTTATATGGGTGTCCGTTCCCATACTTCCTTACTGGGAAGGTCCTCCAGGCCTGGGTCTCCAGCCACCCTGCCACCAGAGCTATCGAGTCAATGGAAGCTCTGCAACTCCCTGGACAGAACCCTCAGGGGCAACTGAAAGCTCTCTGCCACCACCTGTGCAATGGAACTGCCCTTACTACCCTCAGACTAACATAGGAGCAAAGACTCTAAGTGCCTTATCCACACCTCCAGCAAGCTGCAGTTAACCCAAGGAGAGGAGGTCAATCGGTGTCCCACAGGAACCCCTCCCCCACCGATCTGCTCATCACTAGACAGGGAACCCCTGTCCCACAGCATAGACTCTCCATCCTGGAGTGATTGCATTGAGCGATTGCTGACCTGCATCACTCTGGGGTGGAGCCCCCAGTAGACAAGCAAAAGACCCTTGACCACAACCATTACTAAGGTCGCTTCGTCTCCTACCTCCAAGTTGGGGAAGGAGATAATCCCAGAGCTGCAGTGGGCAGTCCAGCAGTGTCAAGCCATAATCTGCAGCCAGCACTCAAGGGGGAGAAGAACCCACAGTTTCAGAGCCACTTTCAGAACACTGAGAGGGAACATGGCTGCAACTGTGAGGAAACTTAGGGGCCATACAACTTAGCAAGAGTCTACCAACTGACCAATAAGTCTTAAGTGCCACCTGCTGGATTACACCTCAAAGCTTTCAACACAAAAAACACCTCACTAACATACCCTCCTCTGAAACCAGAGACAAAAAGCCAGCTTCAAGTAAAGACCCTGCACAAAGCTATGGCCCAGTGAAAACATCCAGAAAAGAAGTCTACTGACTGTACTCAATCTACACTGCAGTTAAAGGAAAATCCACATGATGAGATGAGAAAGAACCAATGCAAGTACTCGGTGTCACATGTCCTTCAAACAACTGTACCAGTTCTCCAACAAGAGTTCTTAACCAGGTTGAACTGGCAAGAATAACAGAAATAAAATTCAGAATATGGATAGGAACAAAGTCATTGAGATGCAGGAGGATGCAAAAACCCAATTCAATGAAACAAAGAACCAAAATAAAACAATACAGGAGCTGAAGGACAAAATAGCTGGTATAAAAAAGAACCTAGGCTGGGTGCGGTGGCTCATGCCTGTAATCCCAGCACTTTGGGAGGCCGACGCAGGTGGATTGCGAGGTCAGGAGATCGAGACCATCCTGGCTAACATGGTGAAACCCCATCTCTACTAAAAATACAAAAAAATTAGCCAGGCGCGGTGGCGGGCACCTGTAGTTGCAGCTACTCGGGAGGCTGAGGCACGAGAATGGCGTGAACCCGGGAGGCGGAGCTTGCAGTGAGCCGAGATTGTGCCGCTGCACTCCAGCCTGGGCGACTCCGTCTCAAAAAAAAAAAAGAACCTAACAGACCAGACAGAGTTCAATAACACAATACAAGAATTTCACAATGCAATCACAACTATTAACAGCAGAATAAATCAACAGCAGGCTCTCAGAACTTGAAGACTGGCTCTCTGAAAGAAGACAATCAGACAAAAAAAAAAAAAAGGAATAAAAAGGAATGAACAAAACCTCCTAGAAGTATGGAGTTATGCAAAGAGGTCAAATCTATGAATCACTGGCATGATTCATAGGGGAGGGGGAGAAAGCAAACAACTTGGAAAACATATTTCAGGTTGTTGGCCAAGAAAACTTCTCTAACATTGCTAGAGAGGCCGACAGTCAAATTCAGGAAATTCAGAGAACTCCTGCAAGATTCCACCCAAGAAGACCATCCCCAAGACATATAATTGCCAGATTTTTCCAAGGTCAAAATGAAAAAAAGAATATTAAAGGCAGCTAAAGTAAAAGAACAGGTCATCTATAAAGGGAACCCCATCACGCTAACAGTGAACCTCTCAGCTGAAACCCTTCAAGCCAGTAGAAAATGGGGCCTATATTCAACTTCTTAAACAAAAAAATCTTGGGCCAGACACGCTGGCTCACACCTGTAATCCCAGCACTTTGGGAGGCCGAGGTGGATGGATCACCTGAGGTCAGGAGTTTGAGACTAGCCTGGCCAACATGGTGAAACCCCCATCTCTACTAAAGATACAAAAATTAGCTCGGCCTGGTGGCACATGCCTGTAATCTCAGCTACTCGGGAGGCTGAGGCAGGAGAATCACTTAAACCCGGGAGGTGGAGGTTGCAGTGAGCTGAGATCGTGTCCATTGCACACCAGCCCAGGCAACAAAAGCAAAACTCTGTCTCAAAAAAAAAATCTTCAACCAAGAATTTCATATTCAGCCAAACTAAACTTCCTAAGGGAAAGAGAAATAAGCTACTTTTTAGATAAGCAGATGTTGAGGGAGTTCATTATCACCAGGCCTGCCTCACAAGAGATCTTGAAAGGAGCAGTAAATATAGAAAAGAAAGACCACTACAAACTAATAAAACATCACACTTAAACATACAGACCAAGGCCAGGCACAGTGGTCCATCCCTGTAATCCCAGCACTTTGGGAGGCTGAGGCAGGCAAATCACCTGAGGTCGGGAGTTCGAGACCAGCCCGACCAACATGGAGAAAACCTGCCTCTACTGAAAATACAAAATTAACCAGGCGTGGTGGTGCATGCCTGTAGTCCCAGCTACTCAGGAGGCTGAGGCAGGAGAATCCTTGAACCCAGGAGGCGGAGGTTGCAGTGAGCCGAGATCGCGCCATTGCACTCCAGCCAGGGCAACAAGAGCGAAACTCTGCCTCAACAAAACAAAACAAAACAAAACACACAGACCAATGACACTAGAAAGTAACCACACAAACAAGCCAGCCTAATAACCAGCTAACAATACAATGACAGAACCAGAGCCACAGATATCAATACTCACCTTGAATTTAAACAGGCTAAATGTCCCACTTAAAAGGCACAGAATGGCAAGCTGGATAAAGAAGCAAGACCCAATGGTACACTGTTTTCAAGAGACCTGTCTTACATGTAATGACACCTATAGGCTCAAAATAAAGGGATGGAGGAAAATATACCAAGCAAACAGAAAACAGAAAAAGGCAGGGTTTGCAATCCTAATTTCAGACAAAACAGACTTTAAGCCAACAAAGATCGAAAAAGACAAAGAAGGGTATTACATAATGGTAAAGGATTCATTTCAGCAAGAAGACCTATCTATCCTAAATATACATGCACTCAACACAGCCATACCCAGATTCATAAAGCAAGTTCTTAGAGACCTACAAAAAGACATAGACTTCCACACAATAATAATGGGAGAATTCAACACTTTACTGACAGCATTAGACAGATAATCAAGTCAGAAAATTAACAAAGACATTCAAGGACCTGAATTCAACATTGAACCAGCTGTATCTGATAGACCTCTACAGAACTCTCCACCCCAAAACAGCAGAATATACATTCTTCTCAATGCCACATGGCAAATACTCTAAATTTGACCACATAATTGGACATAAAACTATCCTCAGCAAATATTAAAGAAATGAAATCATACCAAACACACTTTTGGACCACAGCACAATAAAAATAGAAGTCAAGACTAAGAAAATAATTCAAAATCATGCAATTACATGGAAATTAAAATAACGTGCTCCTGAATGACTTTTGGGTAGTTAATTAAATTAAGGCAGAAATCAAGAAGTTCTTTGAAACTAATGGGAACAAAGATACAACATACCAGAATCTCTGGGACACAACTAAGGCAGTGTTAAGAGGGAAAGTCATAGCACTAAAAGCGCATGTCAAAAAGTTAGAAACAACTCAAATTAACAGTGTAACATCACAACAGAAAGAATTAGAGAAGCAAGAGCAAATCAACCCCAAAGTTAGCAGACGAAAAGAAATAACCAAAATCAGAGCTAAACAGAAGGAAATTGAGACACAAAAAAACCATTCAGAAGATAAACAAATCCAGGAGTTTGTTTTTTGAAAAAATTAACAAGATAGATAGGTTGCTAGCTAGACTAATAAAGAAAAGAGAATCAATACAATTAGAAATAAAGGGAATGTTACCACTGACCCCACAGAAATAAAAATAATCATCAGAAACTACTACAAACACCTCTGTGCACACAAAGTAGAAAACCTACAAAAGAAAGATAAATTCCTAGACACCTACATCTCCCAAGACTGAACCAGGAAATTGATTCCCTGAACAGAACAATAACAAGATCAATAATTGAATCAGTAATAAATAGGCTACCAACCAAAAAAAGCCCAGGACCTGATGGATTCACAGCTAAAGTCTATCAGATGTACAAAGAAGAGCTGGCACCATTCCTACTGAAACTATTCCAAAAAATTGAGGAGGAGGAACTCCTCCCCAACTCATTCTATGAGGCCAGCATCATCCTAATACCAAAATCTGGCAGAGACACAACAAAAAAATAAAACTATGGGCCAATATTCTTAATGAACATTCATGCAAAAATCCTCAACAAAATACTTGCAGATTGAATCCAGCAGCACATCAAAAAATGAATCCACCACAATCAATAGGCTTCATCCCAGGATGCAAGATTGCTTCAACATATACAAATCAATAAATGTGATTTATCACACAAAAAGAACCAAAGACAAAAACCACATGACTATCTCAATAGATGCAGAAAAGGCTTTCAATAAAATTAAACACTTTTCATGTTAAAAAACTCTTAATGTACGAGGTATTGAAGAAACATACCTCAAAATAATAAGAGCCATCTATGACAAACCCACAGCCAACATCGTACTGAATCGGCAAAAGCTGGAAGCATTCCTCTTGAAGCCAGCACAAGCCTTCTCTCACCACTCCTATTCAACATAGTATTAGAAGTTCTAGCAAGAGCAATCAAGCAAGAGAAAGAAATAAAGGGCATTCAAACAGGAAGAGAGGAAGTCAAATGATCTCTGTTTGCAGACAACGTGATCCTATATCTCAAAAAACTCACAGTCTCGGCCCAAAAGAGAGCTGTTTATCAACTCCTTCAGCAGATAAACAACTTCAGCAAGTTTCAGTATACAAACTCAATGTCCAAAAATTCACTGACATTCTGATACACCAACAACAGCCAAACTGAGAGCCAAAGCAGAAAGGCAATCCCATTCACAATTGCCACAAAAAGAATAAAATGCCTAGGAATACAGCTAACCAGGGAGGTGAAAGATCTCTACAATGAGAATTATAAAGCACTGCTCAAAGAAATCAGAGATGACACAAATAAATGGAAAAACAGTCCATGCTCATGGATAGGAAGAATCAATATCATTAAAATGGCCATACTGCCCAAAGCAATTTACATAATAAATGATATTCCTATGAAACTACCAATGACATTCTTCATAGAATTAGAAAAAACTATTTTAAAATTCATATGGAACCAAAAAAGAGCCCAAATAGGCAAGGTAATCTTAAGCAAAAAGACAAAGCTAGAGGCATCACATTACCTAACTTCAAACTATACTACAGGGCTACAGTAACCAAAATAGGATGGTACTGGTACAAAAACAGGCACATAGACCAATCAAATGGAATAGAGAGCCCAGAAATAAGACCACACACCTACTATCATCTGATCTTCAACAAAGCTGACAAAACAAGCAATGGAGAAAGACTCCCTGTTAAATAAATGGTGCTCTGATAACTGGCTAGCCATGTGCAGAAGATTGTAGCTAGATCCCTTCCTTACACCATATATACAAATCAACTCAAGATGAACTAATGACTTAAATGTAAAACCCAAAACTATAAAAAACCTGGGTGACAACCTGGGCAATACCATCCTGGACATAGGCATGGGCAAAGATTTCATGAAGAAGACACCAAAAGCAATTGGAACAAAAGCATTTTTTGTTTGTTTGTTTGCTTTTTTGAGACAGGGTCTTGCTCTGTCATCCAGGCTGAAGTACAGTGGCAAGATCTCAGCTCCCTGCAACCTTTGCCTCGCAGGTTCAAGTGATTCTCGTGCCTCAGCCTCCTGAGTAGCTGGGACTACAGGCGTGCACCACCATGCTTGGCTAATTTTTGTATTTTTAGTAGGGACAGCATTTTACCACGTTGGCTAGACTGTTCTCAAACTCCTGGCCTCAAGTGATCCATCCACCTTGGCCTCCCAAAGTGCTGGAATTACAGGTGTGAGCCACTGCACCAGGCCAAAAATTGACAAATAGGATCTAGTTAAACTAAAGAGCTTCTGTACAGCAAAAGAAAGTATTAACACAGTAAACAGACAACCTACAGAATGGGAGAAAATATTTGCAAACTATGCATTTGAGAAAGGTCTAACATCCACATCTATAAGGAACTTAAACTTACGAGAGAAAAACAAACAAACCCGTTAAAAAGTGGGCAAAGGACATGAACAAACACTTTTCAAAAGAAGACGTAAATGTGGCAAACAAGCATATGAAAAAAAGCTCAATATCATAGATCATTAGAGAAATGCAAACCAAAACCACCATGAGATACCATCTCACTCTAGTCAGAATGGCTATCATTAAAAAGTCAAAAAACAACAGATGGGGAGAGGTTGCAGAGAAAAGGGAACACTTATACACTGTTGGTGAGAGTGTAAATTAGTTCAACCATTGTGGAAAGCAGTATGGCAATTTCTCAAAGAGCTAAAAGCAGAACTATTGTTCAATCCAGCAATCCCATTATAAATAAATAAATAAATATCCATACATTCATACTGATAGAAATTCCAAATAATGGATAATTCCAAATAATGGATAACTCCATTATTTGGAATATCTATCAGTATGAATGTATGGATATTTATTTATTTATAGACAGAGTCTTGCTCTGTTGCCCAGGCTGGAGTGCAGTGGCACGATCTTGGCTCACTGCAACCTCCACCTACCAGGCATGTATCAGGTATACACCCAGAGAAACATAAATCATTCTACCATAAAGACACATACACCTGAATGTTCATTGCAGCACTATTCACAATAGCAAAGACATGGAATCAACTAAATGCTCATCAATGACAGATTGAATAAAGAAAACGTGATACATATACACCATGGACTACTATGCAGCCATAAAAAGGGATGAGATCCTATCTTTTATGGGAACATGGATGGAGCTGGAGGCTATTACCCTCAGCAAGCTAACACAGAAACAGAAAAGCAATGCTTCATGTTCTCACTTATAAGTGGGAGTTAAATGATGAGAACTTATGAACACAAAGAAGGGAACAACAGACACTGGGCTCTACTTGAGGGTGGATGGTGGGAGAAGGGAGAGGAGCAGAAAAGATAACTACTGGGTACTGGGCTTAATACCCGGGTGATGCAATAGTGTGTACAACAAACCTCCATGACATGAGTTCACCTATGTAACCAACCTTCATGCGTACGCCTAAACCTAAAAGTTTTTTTTTCTTTTTAATAAAAAGGGACTGCTTAGGAGGGACATCCTCCCACTGCCTCATCCATGGATCAGGGAGGCACGCCAGGGAGTAACCCAGTTCTGCCCAGCAAGCTACACCCCACTAACTCTGGGCCCTGTCTGTGCTATTTAACATTTCATTCAAACAGGAGCTCCTGGGAAGAAGCTTGGCTCAGTATCCTTGGCAGATCACCCCTCAAAGTCTCCCTCAGGTATATTCTAAGTGAGGACGGATCCCATATATACCTCACTTAGGCTTTACTCTGCTCTGCAAGCACAGGCAAGACCAGCTACATCTTTGCACGCCACCCCTGGTTCTTAGTAGGCCAAGAACCTCAGAAACTGGGAGGGCACTAAGAGCTGTATTTTAGAAACTGTGTTGAAATTACATTTATTCAGCTTTGTTCTGGGTGGGCCCTGTACCTGGCACTGCTAACAAGTGTTTCAAGAAGGTGCGAAGGAGATATTTTTCCAGGCAAAATAGAATATATTTCCTCTTCAGTTTCATTTGACTGCTTGTTTAAAAAAAAATATGAAGATAGTACAGAGAGTTCCCATATACCCCTCATCTAGTTTCTCCTTTATTAACATCTGCCATTAGTGTGGTGTATTTGTCACAATTAATAAACCCATAGTGATAAATTATTGTTGGCAAAAATCCATACTTCATTCAAATTTCCTCTGTTTTTTCCTAATGTCCTTTTTTTTCTATTCTAGGATCTTATCCAGGATACTGTATTACATTTAGTCAGAGTGTCTCCCTGCGTTCCTCTGGAGAGGACTTTCCTTACTTTTGATGACCTTGAATATCTCGAGGAGTATTGGTCAGGTATTTTGTAGAATGTCCCTCTGCTGGCATTTGCCTAATGTTTTTTTCATGAGTAAACTGGGGCTATGTGTTTTTGAGAGGAAAACCAGAGTTAAAAATGCCATTTTCATTATATCATGTCAAGGGTACATACTGTCACTGTTGATGTTAACCTTGATTGCCTGGCTGAGTTAGTGCTTGTCAGGTTTGCCTACCGTCAACTTCCTCTTTATCTTCCCTGTTTTCATACTCTACTTGTCGGCAGAAAGTTACTATGTAAAGTCTGTGCTGAAAGAATTGGGAGTTATGCTCCACTTCCTTAAGGGTGGAGTATCTACATAAATTATTGGGACTTCTGCACAGATTTGAACCTTCTCCCATTTATTTTTCAATCATTTATTTCTATCAGTATGAACATATGGATATGTATTTATTTATTTATTGAGACAGAGTCTCACTCTATTGCCCAAGCTGGAGTGCAGTGGCGCGATCTTGGCTCACTTCAACGTCCATTTCCCAGGTTTAAGTCATTCTCGTGCCTCAGCCTCCCAAGTAGCTGGGATCACAGGCATGCACCACCGTGCCTGGCTAATTTTTGTATTTTTATAGAGACAGGGTTTCACCATGTTGGTCAGGCTGGTCTCGAACTCCTGACCTCAGGTGATCCACCCACCTCGGTGTCCCAAAGTGCTGGGATTATAGGCGTGATCCACCGCACCCAGCCTAATGTATGGATATTTATTCTATATTTTGGATGAAAGTCCAATACTACTTTATTTATTTTGTTGTATATAATTTTATTTCAAAGTTCTGCTTCTTACAATATGTGGCTTGTGCTCTCAGTGAGATGTCAGGAAGTAGTATTTGGCTAAGATCTAAGATTGCATGCACCAGCATCCTTTTGTGCCTCAGCCTCCCCTCCTTGAGGTTCCCAGGGGAGATAACTGCCAGAGGACAAGGCCAGCACAAAGGAATCCTCTATTATCACTAGATCAGCCTCTACCCTCTGTTAAATTATAAATTTCAAAAGTGAAATAAAAATATGACTTGTATAAAACAACAGAATAAACATGTATTAAAGGTGTTATTTAACTCATTAATTAGTGAAGGAACCAGTAAGATAGTGTACTAGTCAGGGTTTTCTAGACAGACAGAACCACTAGGATGTAAACAGAGAAAGAGATAGAGAGATTTATTTTAAGAAATCGGCCCATGCAATTATGGAGGTTGGCAAGTCCAAAACCTGTAGGATAAATTGCCAGGCTGGAGACTCAGGGAAGAGCCGATGTTGCAGATTAAGTCTGAAGACCATCTACTGATAGAATTCCCTCTTGTTCGGGAGACGTCAGTCTTTTGTTTTATTCAGACCTTTAACTGACTGGATGAGGCCCACCCACGTTATGGAAAGTAATCTGCTTTGCTCAAAGTTCACCGATTTAAATATTCATCTCACCTAAGAACACCCTCATGGAAACATCCAGAATAATATTTGCCCAAATATTTGGGCATCATGGCACAGCAAGTTGACAAGCCTATTTGAGGAATGGGCTATTTGAAGGCAATTTTAAAAAAGAACATCAGAGTAAGGTCACTGGGCTAGATACATTGTTAATATCCTATAGGGCAATACACTACAACCTTTGGGAGTTTCTACTTTTCAGAAATCATTTGCTTCTCTGCTAATCAAAAATCTACAAATTAACATGCAACATCACTGATGATTCTCAACCTTAATTAATAGTAAATAGCAAAGTCATAGAGGATACTGTCTCATTGCATGTTACATAATTCTTGGATGAGCCTTTTCAACAATGAATGGTTCAGTGGGTCACGAAAGGACAGCTTGAGGGCGAGGTGCTGTGGCTCCAGCCTGTAATCCCAGCTACTCTGGGGGCTGAGGCAGGAGGATCCCTTGAGTGAAGGAGTTTGAGGCTGCAGTGAGCTGATTGTGCCGCTGTACTCTAGCCTGAGTGACAGAACGAGACCCTGCCTTAAAAAACAAATAAAAAAGAGGCCTGGTGTGGTGGCTTATGCCTGTAATCCCAGGACTTTGGGAAGTTGAGGTGGGAGGATCACTTGAGCCCAGGAGGACAAAGATTCAGTGAGTTATGATCTCACCACCTCACTTCAGCCTGAAGGATAGAGGGAGACCCTGTCTCTAAATAAATAAATAAATAAAGGACAGGTTGTACTCTCTTGAACTAATGTTTTGGGTATTTTTCTTACCATGTCATACCCCAATGTCACCTCCTATGAAATTGCAAGAGAGCATTTTGCCAGCCTATGTCGACCTGGTGGCTTCTCCCCAGGCTTCACTTTGTTTCCACTGAAGGAAACAGAAGATCATTCCCAGTGGGGAGGTAGCTCCATGCCTCTCTCTCCCTAGTCTAAGAAGAAAGAGAAGACTGTGAAGAGATAACAGCAAAAGAGGTATCTGAGAGGGGCCACAGAGAACTTTCAGAGGGCTATAGAACTTTAGCTTCTTTTCTTCTCACACCCAAAGCACCACTTCCTGGCAGAGTGGTCCAAGAAATACTAAATCTGATCAATGGATTGATTGATTGATTGAGATGGAGTCTCGCTCTGTCACCCAGGCTGGGGTACAGTGGTGCGATCTTGGCTCACTGCAACTTCCGCCTCCTGAGTTCAAGCAATTCTCCTGCTTCAGTCTCCCAAGTAGCTGGGATTACAGGTGCCCACCACCACACCTGGCTAATTTTTTTATATTTTTAGTAGAAGTGGGGTTTCACCATGTTGGTCAGGTTGGTCTCAAACTTCTGACCTCAGGTAATCCACCTGCCTTGGCCTCCCAAGGTGCTGGGATTACAGGCTTGAGCCACGGCCAAGAAATACTAAATTTGATTGATTTATATCAACATCCTGTTCCTTGATGGTGGGGTAAAATGAGGCTTGATGGAGTGATAGAACCTTAATTTTCCTCAATAAAGCAAAATATCCTAACGTGGCTTCCAAATTTTAACATCGCGCAATTGTACGAATTTTTATTTAATGCCTTTCAGACTGAGTGTTGAGGGCCAGGCTGTGTCTTCTACGGCTTTGCATTCTCCACAGCATCTGGCATTAGGCCCGGCATATTGCAGGCACTCTATAAATGGCAGCTGCCTGAATAAGGGGGTATTATCATTTGGGGGTTTTGTTAAAAATGGGATCACGAAGGAGAAAGTGTTTGGAGGAGGCTGCATGAACAACTCGCTATTCGTAAGGCCATGCTGTGAGGGGGTGTTTTGAGGACACACTATCCCGGAAGAAGTGGCTTCCAGAAGCACAAGAAAGCCTTTTATTTTGTGAAATGAGACCCAGATGGCAATACCAAATAACAACAATTATGATGATACATTTTTTATAAAAGATCCCAGGCCTGACAATGTCTGGCTTTAAATTATAAATTGGCTCATTATCAGGAAAAAAATATTTATTGAAACACAGCAATGACCAATGAGCTCATTATCCTAAGGTGGCAGCCAAGAAGTCCTAAGACACAGACCTGTTGTAAAAATCAGGCAGTTATTTGTGCAAGCGGTATTTGGTGCATAGCTTCTCAACAGGGATAATTTTGTTCCAAGATGAGTACCAGGGACAGGAATCAGACTTTGGGGTCCTAGTCGATCATCTGGAAAATAGGTCTAATTGGGATGTGTCCCTTGGAGGTTTGCTTCATTAATTTCTGGTTGAGAGCTCAGAAAGCTTCAAATCAGACTCCTCAGCACTGTGCTCAGCCTTATTTAAATACCTACATCAAACTGCTTAGTCTATTTCACTTTATTTCTTAAGCCTCTCTGTTTTTTGTTGTTGCTACATTAAGACTTTCTTAGGAATTTGCCTAGATTCAGCTAACCGTCCCTCTACTTCCTTCTTCAGAAGACTCTTCTTTGTGTCTCCTGGGGCATTTTAAATATTATTTAACATAGAATATACTGAAAGACTCGGATACCTCTGAGGTCACAAATAATAAAAGGGAATGTACCAGAAGATCACCTGGAGTGATGGTTTCTACGACAAGCAGCCTGGTGGAAAGAACTTATGTGTCAGATGGCTCTGAAAGGGAATCAGGAGTCTAAATGTACTAGGTATTTGACCTTAGACATGTTATTTTATTATTTATTTATTTTTGAGATGGAGTTTTGCTCTTGTGGCCCAGGTTGGAGTGAAATGGCATGCTCTCAGCTCACTGCAACCTCTGCCTCCTGGGTTCAAGCGATTCTCTTGCCTCAGCCTCCCAAGTAGCTGGGATTACCGGCACCCACAACCACACCTGGCTAATTTTTGTATTTTTGGTAGAGATAGGGTTTCACCACATTGGTCAGGCTGGCATTGAATTCCTGATCTCAGGTGATCCACCCACCTTGGCCTCCCAAAGTGCTGGGATTACAGGCATGAGCCACCGCGGCCAGCCCTTAGACATGTTATTTAGTGTTATTGGGCCTCAGTTTCCTCATCAAAAAGAATGAGAATAATACCTACTTTATAGTGTGGCTTTAAGAATTAGAAACAATGTTCGTGTAGTTGTTGCAGCATAGCAGCTACTTAATAAATGAAAGCAATTATTATCATCCTTCCAAGAATGCCAAAGTTAGGAGACCTGGTGGGGAGAAGAGGAGGTTTAGGAATTCTTTCCTAAGGTGTCCTGAGCTGGCAACAATGGTAGTAGGAGTCCCTGGTCCTAAACAAATGTTGCCATCTAGTTCCCTTTACAGCCATCAGCGGTAAAAGAAACATGCTGGCAATGTTTAAAACTCAAAAAAAAAAAAAAAAAAAAAAAAAAGAAGCAGGAAATGGACTGAGTGAGAATCAAATAGACAAGACTGAAAGAAACAACATTTGTCACTCTCAACTAGGATACAGATCACCTCGCTTCATAAACCAGAAATTGAGGCTCATAGAAGTAAAATAGAGTAGTATTTAGGAGCTCAGACTTTGGAGCCAGACTGCAAGACATGCTCTAAATGTGTTTCAGTTTCCTTACCTGAAAATGAGGATTTATCAGTCAGGATAGGCTAGGTTATGCTGTGGTAACAGACAATTCCAGAAATCTCCAAGACAGATAACAAACATTTATCTCTTGTTCATACTTTCTGTGCTTCATGAGTTGGCCATGGCTCCATACCAAGCTTTCTTTTTTTTTTTTTTTTGAAATGGAGTTTCGCTCTTGTTGCCTAGGCTGGAGTGCAATGGCATGGTCTCGGCTCACTGCAACCTCTGCCTCCCAGGTTCAAGCGATTCTCCTGCCTCAGCCTCTCAAGTAGCTGGGATTACAGGCACCTGCCACCAAGCCTAGCTAATTTTTGTATTTTTAGTAGAGATGGGGTTTCACCATGTTGACCAGGCTGGTCTTGAACTCCTGACCTCAGGTGATCTGCCTGCCTCAGCCTTCCAAATTGCTGGGATTACAGGTGTGAGCCACCGCATCCAGCCCATTCCAAGCATTCTTCATCCTCAGACAGAGCCACCACTAGCTGGGACACTGCCAGTCATCGTGGCATAGGAAAGGAGAACACGGCCAAGCACTCACTGATTTTTAATCCTTCTTGTTTGGAAGTGTCACATCACCCTTTATGACTTTTATTGGCCAAAGAAAGTCATGGGGTCACTCCTCTGTTCGACAGGGTGGAGATGGTTTAAACCTCCTACCAGCAAGAATTCTGAAGAAGGGAACCCAAAGTATTTGGTGAATAGTCATCTGGTTTACTACAGGTGATGATAATGATAATAAAAGACCCCCTTGTGGGATGTCCTGACAACTGAGTTATTATTACACATAAAGAACTTAGAAGGGCGAGTGATGCAGTGATGCACATTTTTTTTTTCTGAGACAGAGTCTTGTTGCCCAGGCTGGAGTGCAATGGAGTAATATCGGCTCACTGGAAACTCCGCCTCCCAGGATCAAGTGAATCTCCTGCCTCAGCCTCCCGAGTAGCTGGGATTACAGGTGCATGCCACTACACCCAGCTAATTGTTGTATTTTTAGTAGAGATGGGCTTTTGCCATGTTGGCCAGGCTGGTCTTGAACTCCTGACCTCAGGTGATCCACCCACTGAGACTACAGGAGTGAGCCACCGCACCTGGCCACAGTGATGTGCATTGACTGTAACATGTGTTTGCTGTTATTATTGCTGACCATTATACAGGGGATTAGTGATGGAGCTAGTGAAATAGATCCCAGCTGTCCTAACTGAAAGGCAAAAAAAAAAAAAACCCTTGTATTTGTACTGAGAGCTATGGATCCACAGACAACCAAGGGCAAAACACATGTAAAAACTGTCATAAAGCAGGTTTTAAAAAGAGAGTGAGGAAGCTGAGGGAGAAAGGATAGAGGGAAAGTGAAGGAGAAAGAAAGAAGTGAGAGCGAGAGGGAGAGGGAAAGAAAAGAAGTAAAGGAAGAGGCCAGGCACGGTGGCTCACGCCTGTAATCCCAGTACTTTGGGAGGCCAAGGTGGGTGGATCACTTGAGCTCAGGAGTTCGAGAGCAGTCTGGCCAACGTGATGAACCCCCATGTCTACTGAAAGTATAAAAATTAGCCAGGCGTGGTGGTGCAGGCCTGTAGTCCTAGCTACTCAGGAGGCTGAGGCAGGAGAATCGTTTGAACCTGGGAGGCGGAGGTTGTAGTGAGCTGAGATCGCGTCACTGCATTCCAGCCTGGACGACAGAGTGAGAATCTGCTCAAAAAAACAAACAAAAAAAAAGTGAAGGAAGAGAGAGACACCACCCAGGGACAGAAACTTCAGGGAGACGGGGGACTCAATAACTCCTGAAGCACCATGGTAAGAAGCTAAGCTGCCTTTGTCAATTCCTTCTTTTGGTTTGGACTGGTCTTTCTAGTAGGCTTGTTTTGCCTTTCATTAAACTACTGATTTCCTTCTGCAGCTAGCACCTCTTCCTTTAATTGTTCTCATCAACTTGAGTCAATGGTGGATGGAATGGTCAGGGCACTCACTGAGAAAGGAAATTTCCCCCGGATTCTAGCCTTAGGTGATGAGAGCAATCCTGTCTCAGTTGTATTCAGTGCTGGGGTAAGATCAAGTTGAAAGTTAGGCTCAGGTAGAGGGCTGGACCGCTCTCTTCCCAGGCTCCCAACTGTGACACAGGGTGCAGTGGTAGAAGGTAGGGATGCTGCCTGAATGTGGGACAGGGGATTGTCCCTGAGTCTGCTTACTGGGGCCAATAATAAGAACTAACCTTCGAATATCATTATGTGTACAACACTACTAAGTGCTCACATCTATTAACTCATTAAATCCACAACTCTAGGCTGTATGGTATTGCTTCCATTTTACAAATGCAGAAACTAAGGACACATTGGCACGTAGCTTGCCTGAACTCACGCACACAGTTCACAGCAAGCAGCTGAGCTGGGATGTGAATTCTGGCAGTTTGCTCAGAATCCACGCTCTTGACAACTATAATGCAACATCCTCCTTTCTATTGCCTGCTTGGGGTCCTACTTCAATTTTTTGTGGCCTAATAAAGAGAGTCCTTCTTTTAGGTTCTGGACATACAAAACTTAGAATTTAGTTTGAGGGGCTCATCCTTTCCATGCTTATAAGCAAAGAAAGGATTTTTTGCTCATAAAAGAACAACTTACTGCTTTAAAAAAAATGCTGCTAATTATTATTACTTTGGCTTCATTTGCCATTAATTTGTCTCCAAGAAACACAATCAGCACAAACATTGAGAGCTTCCTTATAGCCTACCAGGAGAGTGTTGGTGGGTCTCAGCAAAGTGTTCCCTTTTGGGAGGTGGCTCCCCAGAGCCCTCGGACACAATCTGCTCCCAGATCCTCTCAAGCGTCAATCTGCACTGATTGCCTGTTCTCAACTCCCACAGGCAACCTGCCTCCTCTTGACTATCAATAGCTGTCACAGCCTAATTTGATTGCTGAGTCAGACAATCAGTCTTAATTGCCTGTTTCCACCTCCAGCTGTGTCTCTTGTGGGCGGAAAAGCCTCTCTCTTGGTGCACTGCCCTTCCCCCTGGATCAGAAGCCCAGGTAGCGGTCCAGGCCACCTGTAGGATCATCTGCAACTTCTGATCCCACAGGTTCCCCATTTTCCTGGGCTGGACCTGGAGGGAGGTGAGGGTTTTGTTCACACACTGAGTCTCTGCTATTAGCCTGTACACCACCCTCACTTGGTCCTGCTCTAGTAGCAGTAAGTTCTTTTATAAGCAAAGAATACTTTCTATGGGGTGGAGAGAATGAGCCCCTGAAACTAAATTCTAAGTTTTGTATGTCCAGAGCCTAAAATCAGGGCTCACCTGCTTTATTAGGCCACAAAAAATTTAAGTGGGGCCGGGCGCAGTGGCTGACGCCTGTAATCCCAGCACTTTGGGAAGCCGAGGCAAGCAGATCACTTGAGGCCAGGAGTTCAAGAACAGCCTGGCCAAAACATGGCGAAACCCCACCTCTACTAAAAATATAAAAATTAGCCAGGTGTGGTGGCGCTTGCCTGTAGTCCCAGCTATTCAGGAGGCTGAGGCATGAGAATTGCTTGAACCTGGGAGGTGGAGGTTGCCATGAGCCAAGATTGAGCTCCAGCCTGGGCATCAGAGTAAGACTCTGTCTCAAAAAAACAAAAAAAGAAAAAGAAAAAAAAATTGAAGTGGGACCCCCAAGCAGGGATTAGAAAGGAGGATGTTACGTTATAGTCATCAAGAGCGTGGATTCTGAGCAAACTGCCAGAATTCATGTCCCAGCTCATCTGCTTACTATGAACTGTGTGCGTGGGCCTGTATCCTCTTTTTGGCTCTACAGACTCACTCTTGCTGTTCTCCAGGCTGCTACCTGTCCCGGGAGCCTGACCTTTAAGGATCAAAGGGCTTCTTTGCTTTTTGGCTTCTGGCTGGGTTTGGGGAGTGAGCAGCCGGAGAGAAGACCTGAGGGAGTCAGGACATGTATTCCCCTAGCATCCTCCCTGTGGGATTTCTTCACATTCTTCCAGATGGAAGGTCAGGCCTTCTCTCAAGGGGTCTTCTCATGACTTTCTGGATTCTATTACGGGCTTCCCTCCCTTGCTTTCAGAGTGTGCTGCAGATGAATTATTGGACTTAATTCTTCACCCCTCCTGGTTTCCATGCTCTTTGCCTGAATGTGACTTTGTAGTTACTCCCCGCCAAAAAGGAGGGATATATTGCCCCTTGCGTTTGGGCTTGGTTTTATGACTAGCTTTGGCCCATGAGATGTGGGTACACCCAACCATCTGCGCCAGTTTCAAGCCTAAGCCTTTAGGAAAAGCCTTAGCATTAAGAGGAAAGCCATTGCATGGGGGTTGTTTTGTTTTGTTTTGTTTTTGTGCCTGTCATCTTCACAGGAAGAGCTTCCCCTGGGCAACTGCTGCCTCTTTAGTCTGGGGCCCAGAATGAACACATGTGGAGTAGCCCAGAGCTTGATCGACAAAGAGGAGCCAAGCCCAGGTGGAGACACCAGCTTGAAACAGAGCCCCCAGCTGACCGCCATTCAACCTGTATGCCCATGAGAAATACATGCGCATGGCTGCATTCCACCAAGAGCATGAGAGAAAGCTGGTGACATCCGCTGCTACCAGCACAGGCATCCCTGCAGGACTCCTTGTGCTTTCTCTACACTCTGCTTCTACTCCATAAATACTTCCTTTACTAAGCCCTCAGGGAACCATCCTAATTTGAGTGTCAGCTGTTTCCTGTACTGACACTGAATGAATGATACAAGCACTGGGCCCAGTCCAGCCCCACAGCCATGTCACATTGTCAGCAAAAGTTCAAAATACTACACTTGAGACCAACTGCCCCTACCCCCATTTGTTTCCCATTTGCTATTTAAACTGAAACCCTTATCTTAGAAGCTGGTCATGAGATCTTATTTTATCTTTTTTATGTGTTAGTTTTTAGAATTTCAACTTGTTATTTGGAAAAAATTTCAAACATATGCACAAGTAGAGACAGCATTATAACAAACACCTATGTACCTGTGATCCAGCTTCAACAATGATGGACATTTTGCCACTCTTATTTGATCTATTCCCCTACTGTTTTTTTTTTTCTCTCTAAATCTAATGACCTTTCAAATTCCAGAGGAATCTAGAGATTCCATCGTACTTCTAATCTTCTGTAATCTCTTGGCAGCATTTGCTGCTATTGCTCACTCTTGCCAATCTGCCATTGCTGTCTCCTAGTTCTTTTATCTCTTGTGACTGCTCTCCATTTCCAGTTTTTGACTCCTGGTCTGGCTCTTAAATGTCAGTGTTCCTGAGGGTTGGCCTTGTTCTTCACCATCTTCTTTCTCTCTATGCTGCCTTCCTGAGTGGTCTCATTCACTCCTATGGCTTAATCTGTAAGCCCACTCCATTTTCCTGGGCTATCCTTTCTGTCTGTCCACTAAGGATCTTCACTTGGAGGTCTGTAAACCCTTCACACTGAGCATGTCCAGCCCCAGCCAAACTTCACAACTTCTTCTCGAACCTTCTCCCTCTCCACTTCTTTTTCTGGATTCTTTCATACCTTCTCTAGTACCCTGCCACATAACTAGATATTGTACACCTCTCCTTACCCAGAGCTGACTATTCCACTTCTGAATGGTCTTTCCAATCCTTCCCCTGTTTCCATTTCCACCCCCTTGATTAAGACCCTCATCGTCTCTCACTTGGGACATTTTAATATTCCCTCTGACTATTCTCTAATGGCTGTTTCCTCTGCTAAGTAGTAGCATCACTTTTCTAAATCACATTATCAAAACATGTTAACCCCAGCTCCAACTTATAAATCTTCTATGGTTCCATTCAGGATATATTCTAAACATTTTGGCATGACATTGAAACCTCTTCACACCTTTTTTTCCTTTTTCTTTCTTTCCTTTTTTTTTTTCTTTTTGAGACGGAGTCTCGCTCTGTCACCTAGGCTAGAGTGCAGTGGCGCGATCTTGGCTCACTGCAACCTCCACCTCCCGGGTTCAAGCAATTCTCCTGCCTCAGCCTCTCAAGTAGCTGGGATTACAGGCATGTGCCAACACGCCCAGCTTTTTTTTTTTCTATTTTTAGTAGAGATGAGGTTTCACCATATTGGCCAGGCTGGTCTTGAACTCCTGACCTTGTGATCCGCCCACCTTGGCCTCCCAAAGTGCTGGGATTACAGGCATGAGCCACTGTACCCAGCCCTTTCACCACCCTTTTTTCTAATCTCACCTCCTGACATTGTCCTCTGTGTACCCTGTCCTCCAAATAATGTGGCTTTGCTTTTTTGTCCCCTAACATATCATGCTTTCATGTGGCCTTTGACATGCTGACCACTGTCTTGTTTTGTAGGATAAAAAATGAGGTTCTAGTTCTCAAATAACAAACACCTATGTACCCATGAACAAAGGTGTTTATTGTTTGAGATTTCGAAGTGCCCCTTCCACAGCTCTTGCCCTTCTGAGATTCTTGATGGCATTTGAATTTGTTCCTCCCAGAGGAAATTGTCAACATGGTATTTAACTTTTTTTTTTTTTTTTTTTTGGCGACAGAGTCTCACTCTGTAGTCCAGGCTGGAGTGCAGTGGTGTGGTCTTAGCTCAGTGCAACCTCCGCCTCTTGGGTTCAAATGATTCTTGTGCCTCAGCCTCCCAAGTAGTTGGGATCACAGGCACGCGGCACCATGACCAGCTATTTTTTTGTATTTTTGGTAGAGATGGGATTTCGCCCTGTTGGTCAGACTGGTCTTGAACTCCTGACCTCGTGATCCGCCCACCTTGGCCTCACAAAGTGCTGGGATTACAGGCATGAGCCACCGCACCCAGTCCGTATTTAACTTTTTGAGCAATCTCCTTAGAATTTCTCTGTTCAAAAGGGGCCCATTTGCCATGGTAATGGTATTGTCTCCACAGACATACTGGCAATATAAAGTTTCTAACTCTTCTGTAGGACTTTGGGTGTCCCTGAGGCAGAAATGATGTGTTACTCATCTTTTTATATATCCCCAGTGCCTGGCACATATGAAATACTCAGTGTTTGTTTGAACTGCATCTAAATTAGTATTGAGACTAGGGAGTAGGATCTGGAGAAGGCACAAATGTTGCCAACCAATTGCAGAGAAAGCTGCCAAACATATAATCTATGAGCTGGGAGGCTGGGGTCACACCATTCCCTGCAGTGAGGGCCTCCAAGCCTGTCGGATGTCAGTTGCATCTGCAAAACTAGGAGTTCAGGGGGAAGGTTGGATTTTTCTTTATTAAACTTGTCATTCCCTAAGGTGGGGCTCTGACAGAAGCCCAGTGAGATGTCAAGCTAAGACAGCTGTTGCCAAACCTGGTGGAGGCATTTCAGACAGCTGGGGATACAGCTGCTGCCGCAGACTTCATTTGCAACAGCCTTTTCTTCTTTAAGGAGGTCAAAATGCTTAACAAATACATAGCAATAGTAAAGCAGCTATGGTATGATGCAGACAGAATTGGATCTGAGTCAGATCACGTGGATCAAGTATCAACTCTACTTCTTATTAGCTGTGTGACTTTGAACAAGTTATGCCACCCCTTTGAGCCTCATTTTCCATACTCATAATACTGACTGCTGTGAAGACTGAATGAGGTAATGTATATGTAAATGTTTTATAAACTGTAGAGCACTGCTCAACTATTAGGTATAATTGGAATACATTAAAATTACATTTAGTCTTCATCTCTCACACACACACATATACACACAGAGTATAGAATAGTGTAATGATTAATTACATGTCAGCTTGACTGGGTCATAGGATAGCCAGGTGTTTGGTCAAACATTATTTTGGGCATGTCTGTGAGAGTGTTTTTGGATGAGATTAACATTTGACTTAATCCCAGCTACTCGGGAAACTGAAGCAGGAGGATTGCTTGGGGCCAGGAGTTCAAGGCTAGCCTAGGCAACATAGTGAGATCCTGTCTCTAAAAAAATAATAAAATTATTTGGGCTTGGTGGCATGTGCCTGTAGCCCCAGCTACTCAGGAGGCTAAGGTGGGAGAATCACTTGAGCCCGGGAGTTCAAGGCTGCAGTGAACTATGATCATGCCACTTGCACTCTAGCCTGGGTAACAGAGTGAGATCTGATCTCTAAAAAAAAAAAAAGCAGATTGCCATCCCTAATTTGCTGGGCCTCACCTAATCAATTGAAGACCTGAATAGGACAAAAGGTCTGAAGAAGTGGGAGCTCCTCCTACCTGACTGTTTGAGCTGGAACATAAGTCTTTTCCTGTCTTCAGGCTTGAATTAAAAAACCAGCTCTTCCTGGGTCTTGAGCCTGCTGGCTTTTGGATTGGTATTTACACCATTGACTCTCCTAGTTCTCAGGCCTTCAGACTCAGACAGATACTTAAAGCATTGAGTCTCCTTGTTCTCAGGGTTTTGGACTTGGATTGGGACTATACCATCGGCTCATCTGCATCTCCAGCTTGTGGACTGCAGATTTTGGGGCTCTCAGCCCCCAAAATTCTGGGAGCCGATTACTTATAATTATCTATCTATCTATCCAGCCATCCATCCATCCTATCTATCAACTATCTGATATGGTTTGCTGTGTTCCCACCCAAATTTCATCTTGAATTGTGATCCCCACGTGTCATGGGAGAGACCAAGTAGGAGATAATTTAATCATGTGGGCGATTACCCTCAGGCTGTTCTTGTGGCAGTGAGTGAGTTCTCACAAGATCCGATGGTTTTATAACGGGCTTTTCCCACTTTTGCTTAGCACTTCTCCTTGCTGCTGCCATGTGAAGAAGGACGTGCTTGCTTCCCCTTCCACCATGATTTTAAGTTTCCTGAGGCCTCCCAAGCCCTTTGAAACTGTGAGTCAATTAAACCTATTTCCTTTATAAACTACCCAGTCTTGGTTATGTCCTTATAGCAACGTGAGAACAGCCTAATACACTATCTCCTATTGGTTCTGTTTCTCTGGAGACCCCTGACTAATGCAAATGGTCAAATTGCGTCAAATTTGCTTATTGTCTATTGTATGCCCAGCTCTCCACTGGGAACTGTGATCAATGCATAAGTTAATATAAGTCATATTTTCCTGATATTAAGAAATTTACAGTTGATTTGGGAGATGAGATCAATTTATTCCTCAATCCTTGTGTTTTTATAGAGGGGAAGACATTTCTACTCCACAATCATGTAGAGCATTTTTCGTGTTTCTTCACTCATTCTTCCCAGGGGATGAGAAGGAACTTCTATGATTAGTGAGCTTGGGCAAAAGTGTTGCTGTGATGAGCGTGGTGGCTGAGCACCTGTTGGTTTCTCATTTCCTAAACTGATAATTGAGAATGCATGCGTTCTGTATTCTTTGCCACAAAAGTAAGCCTTTGCATCAGATGGGATTGGAAAAGAATGATGGTTGTCCAGATCTTTCTGTGACTATATTGGTAGCTTAAGTTCTGGAGAAAAGTATTGGGAGGTGCATTGTACTTTGGCATTTAATACCAGTTCTTATTCTTGATCTCATCCTAAGATATGTTTATTTCTTTAAATATTTACCATCCTGATCTCCTTCCATTTTGGGGGAAGCAACAAGGTACAGATCAACCCTACAAAAAAGAAGGGTATCATGTTTTATGAGCTGCTTCATGATTGGCAAATCCACCACTGCCCACAGTGGAGCTGATCTTTCTTATTATTTTGTAGAGGAATATTAGTGTCTTTCATTAGTCACCTCCTGCTTTCACGACTTTGTCTCTTCTCAAGCTTGCCAGAAATAATAAATTGGGTCCATTAGAGAACCACATGCCACCTGATGGCCACTACCAAGATTACCCAAAGACCAGGTGAAAGCATTGAATTTGCTTGTGTGGGCATAAACAAAGTTCTATCCTCTTCTTCTTTTCTTTTTTTTTTTTTAGACAGAGTCTCACTGTAACCTCTGCCTCCCAGGTTCAAGCAATTCTTGTGCCTCAGCCTCCCAAGTTGCTGGGATTACAGGCGCACACCACCACACATGGCTAATTTTTGTGTGCACACACCACACATGGCTACTTTAGTAGAGATGGCCATTTAGTAGAGATGGCCACCATGTTGGCCAGGCTGGTCTCAAACTCCTGACCTCAAGTGATCCACCCACCTTGGCCTCCCAAAGTGCTGGGATTACAGGCATGAGCCACTATGCCTGGCTGGCTCTATCCTCTTGCCCTGTGGTCTGGGGTGGAGTAGAGGGAGTGAAGTGATGGGGAGGGAAGTTTCATTCTTTATTTTTCCAGAATAGCTTCGTTTGGATTATTTTATTCTTCTAATTTTTAGAGTCTTGGCTTTCATTTAAAAATTAATGTTTAAGGGACAGGTAGAAAGTATATCCATCTGGGTAGCAGTGGGGAAGGTAATGGACATTCTAAATAAGGGGGTCTGGATGACATTTTTCTTCTCTAATATTTTCCAACACTTCTGGCTCCCACCATGGCCATTGTTTTATATTTGTTGGTTTGTCCAACATTGTCCAACCTATCCTTCTTTGAATAATAAATCCCACTCCCTGACCACAGGAATGGATACACGATGCTTGTTAGTTAATCTAGCTAACAAGCATCCACCCTTCTGGGCACAGTGATTGACTTGAGGGGTAGGAACATATTCAAGCCAGGCCAATGAGGGATTTAAATTTTTTCAACATTTACAAAATATTATATTATTTATATGAATATTAAACTTCCTTTAAAACTTAAAATTATGGTATGTATAAAATACAAAATGATAGTACATGTGCAGTTTAAAGAGTAACATTAAATGAATACTCACACCACACCATCTAGGTTAAGAAACAGAATATTAGTGATTAGTAGTAACTTGTTTTATGAATTTGATGTCCTTTTTTCAATTATGTCCCTCTTCCTGCTATATGTAAGCTCTAAAATACAAAAAAGTACTATATGTTGTTGAATAAACATTTAAACAACATGCATAAAATAATAAACTCCAAATTCAAGACAGTGGTTACCTCTCTGAAGGAAGGGGAATGGGATTCGGTTGGAGTACACGGTGGTTCAACTGTATTTGTAGGGTTTTCTGTTTGTTTTGTTTTGTTTTGTTTGTTTGTTTTTGAGATGGAGTCTTGCTCTGTCGCCCAGACTGGAGTGCAGTGGTGTGATCATGGCTCACTGCAACATCCGCCTCCCAGGTTCAAGCAATTCTCTGCCTCAGCCTCCTGAGTAGCTGGGATTACAGGCATCCGCCACCACACCTGGCTAATTTTTATATTTTTAGTAGAGATGGGGTTTCATCATCTTGGCCTTGAACTCCTGACCTTGTGATCCACCCAACTCGGCCTCCCAAAGTGCTGGAATTACAGGCATGAGCCACCGTGCCCGGCCTGGCTTGGTTTTTCTTGAGACAGAGTCTCACTCTGTCGCCCAGGCTGGAGTGCAGTGGCATGATCTTGGCTCACTACAACCTCCGCCTCCCAGGTTCAGGCAATTCTTGTGCCTCAACCTCTCAAGTAGCCGGGACCATAGGCACGTGCCACCACACCTGGCTAATTTTTGTATTTGTAGTAGAAATGGGGTTTCACCATGTTGGCCAGGCTGGTCTCAAGCTCCTGACCTCAAGTGATCCTCTCGCCTTGGCCTCCCAAAGTGCTGGGATTCCAGGCATGAGCCACCATGCCCAGCCAGGTTTTATTTTTTTTTAAATGATGTCAGAGAAATGGGGAAAAATGCTTAGATCTAACTAGATATTTATTATATTATTCCCAGAGGGCATAAAGGTAAAATGGCACAATGGATGAACTGCACACATTCAGGGGCCAGACTGGTTTAGATTCAGTTTTGACTTAGTAAACTGCTATAGAAATTGCATAAATTACTCAGTCTCTCTGTGACTCAGTTTTTCTCAACTATAAAATAGGGATCATAATAATACTTATTGACAGTATTGTGAAGATTGCATTACTTAGTTTATGGAAAGTATTGGAATAATGTTTGGTATATAATAAGCATTTGATAAGTATTAATTATTTTAGTAGTAGTTTTACATATTTCATAAGCTTTTCTCAAGAAAGTGAAAGCATATATATATACCCAATCCCAAAACTATAGATCCACAGTCATTTATTTGAAGCTCTTGGGGAAGATAAGTTTCATAATTCAGAATTTGGGGTTGTATATTATACAACACTAGTGGGGTCTAGGGGAGACCTCCCTAATGAAACACATTATTATTTTTGCATTGAAAATTATGAATATTCACTAAGTGGGATAAATAAACACTCTAAATAGCTTCATGTCAGTTCAGATCAGGTTTTACCACCAGACGAATTTGCTGTAAATGTACCAAAAACATTCAGTTTTCAGAATGTTTTGGATCTAAAATTGCATATAAGGGATTGTAGATCTGTACTTCAATGCATCTACCTGATGAATACTAGTTTGTCCTTACAAAGAATGAGATAGACCTATACATACTGAAATGGAAAGGTATATTGTTAAGTAATAATACTATATATGTTATAGTAGTTGGCAACTGACCGAACAGTACATATTGCCTTATCTTTGTCATATTTATAAAAACAGACATCTGTATTTTCATACATATATATGATAAATGTATTGAAAATAGACTGGAAAGATACCTGCCAAACAGTTGAGAGTGGTCACCTCTGGAGAGGGGATGGGGAAGGCTAAAGGCGAGCTGCCACCTTTTTCTCTGTATACTTCTGAATTTGTCTTCTATGAGAAGGTGTTCACACATATCTAGGTAATAAAAATGAAAAGGCCAGGTGCGGTGGCTCATGCCTGTAATCCCTGCACTTTGGAAGGCTGAGGTGGGATCACAAGGTCAGGAGTTCGAGACCAGCCTGGTCAATATGGTGAAACCCCATCTCAGCTAAAAATACAAAAAAAATAGCCAGGTGTGGTGGCGGGCACCTGTAGTCCCAGCTACTCAAGAGGCTGAGACAGGAGAATCGCTTGAACCCAGGAGGCAGAGGTTGCAGTGAGCCAAGATCACACCACTGCACTCCAGCCTGGGTGACAAAGCAAGACTCCATCTCCGAAAAGAAAAAAAAAACTGCTTAGAAAAACGAAATCAGGGAAGTGTTGTGGAGAGCCTGAGAAGTCTGTATTTAAATCTAAACTTGAGGAGCTATGGATATGTTTGAACTAAGTAGTAACAGCAGCCTCAGGAGAAAAAGTAGTTGGAACAATATGGTTTGGATTTACCTATCGAAAGAAGCGATATTGAGGATCAGTCTGAGTAAATTTTCCACTTGAGTTCCAGCTTCAGAATCAGCATAGTACTCTGAATTATTTCCCCAGTGCAACTGGGGAATAATGAAGTACCCAGGAGATGTTCTGTGGTGACAACAGAAATGAACCTAAAGGGCTTCTTAGCCTCTACCAGAGACCAGGAATGTTGCTGTGTCGCAGAAGGCAGGAGAAGAGAGGATTTCACCGAGGAACAGCAGGGTCAAGCGGGGCTTGCATTTGTGCCTCTGCCCAGTATATTCTCCACGCAGCAGTCAGGGGCATCTTTTAAAAGCACAAGCCTGGTTGTGCTACTACTTCAGTGGCTTCCCTAGAATATTCCTAAGTAGAGCTGGTGAGAAAGGGCCCTTGGTTCCTTTCTGGTTATAAGCCTAGAGTTCCTTGGGGTCATTTTTTCCTTCCATTCTCCTGCTGGAAAAAGGTGGCTTGAGAAAGAGATGCTGACAAAGCAGAGCAGTAGAGATGGAAAACAGAAAGGGAGGGCTAAGAGTATTTGAGTCCCTAAATCCAGTCTTACCTTGAGGCCCAGCTGGCTATCATTCTTTCTGAATTTGGCTACCATGTTTTTGCCCATGCTAGTTTGAGTTGGATTTTTTTCACTTGGAACCCAAAGACTCCTGAATAAAACCCTCCTCTTCAGTGCTGGATTCCCTGGAACGTTTAACTGGGACTCAAATTTGATCTGCGTTAGCAGTACACTTGAACTGTTGTACTGGTGAGGTTGTTGAGCCTAACAGTCTCTAGTCTCTGCCTTATGCAAACAAAGAATGCTACATAGCTGAAGGGAAAGGAGTGGGAGTGACTCCAGGAGTCATCACGTTTAAATCTGAATAGGTGTTGGCTGGGCACAGTGGCTCACGCCTGTAATCCCAGCACTTTGGGAGGCCGAGGTGGGTGGATCACCTGAGGTCAGTAGTTCGAGACTAGCCTGATCAATAGGGTGAAACCTCGTCTCTACTAAAAATACAAAAATTAGTTGGTCATGGTGGCTCATGCCTGTAATCCCAGCTACTTGGGAGGCTGAAGCAGGAGAATCACTTGAACCGGGGAGGCAGAGATTTCAGTGAGCTGAGATGGTGCCACTGCACTCCAGCCTCTGTCTTAACAAAAAAAACAACAAAAAAGTCTTTCTTATTTTACTGTATTTTTTCTTTTCTTTCTTTCTTTCTTTCTTTCTTTTTTTTTTTTTGAGACGGAGTCTCGCTCTCTCACCCAGGCTGGAGTGCAGTGGTGCGATCTCAGCTCACTGCAAGCTCCACCTCCCGGGTTCACGCCATTCTCCTGCCTCAGCCTCCCAAGTAGCTGGGACTACAGGCGCCCACCACCACGCCCAATTTTTTGTATTTTTAGTAGAGATGGGGTTTCATCGTATTAGCCGGCATGGTCTCGATCTCCTGACCTCGTGATTTGCCCACCTCTGCCTCCCAAAGTGCTGGGATTACAGGCGTGAGCCACCGCGCCCGAACATTTTACTGTATTTTTTTCAAAGTCTCTTGTTGGTAGTGATCTGATTCTTATCAAACTTTTTCATTGTTAACTCTACTAGTACTATTCAATTTGAATACACTCAAAACAGAGGCCACTCAATTTTATAAAAGGAAACCTTCTAGTTCTCAAAATTCCATTTTAATTTATGGTGGTTTGCTGTACTGTTCTTGTCTTTGCGTTATGCTCATTCTTAAAAAACTGTTTGTCTGGGTTTCTAGGTCAGAATTTTACATGTAGAGCAAATGGTCTTTATGCACATTTACTGTATTATTTGTTGAAGATGAAGTATGCGAAGATTTTCAAAGGATTGGGGGTAAATTTTACTCAATTTAAAGGTCAGAGGTTTACAATCATATGCTAAGCTATAGTGCATTTATAACTTTTATATCATTGTGTGTGTGTGTGTGTGTGTGTGTGTGTGTAAAATCACTGCATAAGGTCACCTTATGATAATTAGAATTTCTCTATTTCTGGTAGTTGTACTGTCTGAGTAATTCAAGCTGGAATTCTTTATTTGTCCCAAATTTGATATATAGATTTTGGTACTTGTTTATTGCCGCTCACTGTAGAAGTCCTGCATATTTAAGTAATACCTTGGTGCCAAGATTTTGGGAGCATCTAGATCATCTGGGAACTTTTGCAATTCTTATGAGTGGGTGTTAACATGTCACAAGATGCCAACATCCTATATGAAGGTAAAATAATCAGGTGAGACCCTGGAGGTGAAGCTCAAATTTGTGGATGACTCTGTGTGTGTGTGTGTGTGTGTGTGTGTGTGTGTATGTGTGTGGTGTCCAGGGAGGCCACAACTAGTAAGGGGAAAGGAAACCCAGAAGTGGTAACAACATTGGTCATTGTGTGGAATGATCTTGTGCAGAAATCTGGCAAGAAAAATATGACTGTAGCCTTTATTGACCTGCTATTGGCCTGTCACTCTAAGTAGCACGAGTTCAGTAGAGACACTGCATTATTGATGCTCCTACAAAACTTGCATTTTAATGCCCCTCAAGAATTCAGGATTGATAGAAATAGTGTTATAGCTTAATCAACTGAAACTGTAGATAAAAATAGATGGCTGCTGTCCTGGAACAGGAGGGTAAATGTCCTCCTGGGTGCTGATGAAATGGTTTTAATGTCATGGCCCAAGAATGTCCCTAGTAATTGGTTCTGAGTAATTAACCATTGTCAGTACTTTTAATGCAAAGTCTTCCAAAGATAATATCATAATTATTGGCAGATATTTCCCCAAATTCATTTGACTTAAATAACAAAATCCCCCACAAAACAACAATCACAACAAAACAGAACCCAAATCCATCTAACAAGTACAGTCATTCAATTTCCTTGAGACTCATTCATCCTGTCAAATCCACTGGAAAGCCATAGGATTTGTTGATATATTATTGAGAGTTTTAAATACCATTGGGGTAAATGTTGATATTTGCTTTGGATATTTTTTAGTTCATAGTAATCTCAACCATGCTTTATGGTATATAACTTTGTGCAGAGAGATTCAGCCCACTTCCTGAAGAAAAAAATTAACCTTGCCAGCAGATTAATTTCTATGTGGATCCTGGTTAGGCACCTCAATTTTAAAAATAGGGCAACAACATCACTACCTGTGCAAGTATGTTCTCACACAGCACTGGAGATGGTTCTTACTGGTTTGTTAGACTGTGTGCACCTTTCTCCACATCCATGTTCACTGATGTCAAGTTACTAGCTTGAAATTGGTTATAGCAGGAGTATTTACACCAGTGATTCTCAATGAGAAAGATTTTGCCCCCTAGGGCACATTTGACAATCTCTAGAGACATATTAATATTTTGTTGTCATAACTGGGGGGTTGCTACTGACATCTAGTGGGTAGAAGCCAGGGATGCTACTCAATATTCTTTAAAGGCCAGTGCTTCGTAAGAATTATCTGGCTCCAGGCCAGGTGCTGTGGCTCACACCTGTAATCCCAGCACTTTGGGAGGCCGAGGTGGGCGGATCACAAGGTCAGGAGATGGAGACCATCTTGGCCAACATGGTGAAACCCTGGCTCTACTAAAAATACAAAAATTAGCTGGACGTGGTGGCGTATCCCTGTAATCCTAGCTACTCGGGAGACTGAGGCAAGAGAATCACTTGAACCGGGGAGTCAGAGGCTGCAGTGAGCCGGTATCACACCACTGTACTCCAGCCTGGCAACAGAAAGAGACTCCGTCTAAAAAAGAATTATCTGGCTCCAAACACCAATGGTGTGGAGGTTAAGAACTCCTGATTTACACCATGGAAACTGGCAAACATTATAAGTTTGGACTTCCTTTTGTTTTCTTTCTTTCTCTTTTTTTTTTTTTTTTTTAAGAGTACCAGTTTATCAGCTTCTAAACCAAAAAGTGAATTCTTAGGACTTCATCACTATATCATCTGTAATTCTTATTAGAAGCCAGCTGGAGGAATGGATGTTTTTGGAAGACTGAAAGCCATGTTCTCCCTGGGTAATTCATACAGACCATGAATTGGCAAACTTTTTCTATAAAGGGCCAGAGAGTAAATATTTTAGGCTTCTCAGACCACACGGTCTCTGTTGCAACTACTTATGTCTGTCGTTATAGTGTGAAGACATCCATAGGACAATATTTAAATAAATGAGCACGGCTGTGCTCCAATAAAACTTTATTTACAAAGCAGGCTGATAGTTCACTGATCCCTGACTTAGACTATTAGTTTAGCCCCGTCTCAGACATTGCTTTCACGGAAGATTTATTCTGATGCCATGAGCCATCTGCTCAAGCTTTAAAAGCTTCCTCTCCAGCTCTTGCTGACACATTGGGCCAATATGAAAAGGTGGGCCAATATCAAAAGGTCCTACAGATGCCAGTCACTTAGATTTGTATTCTCTAATCTTGTCCATGAAGTTTCTACACAGGATCAATTTCCTTATTAAATGTCACTGCTGTTATCACCAATGTTCTTGGGAAAATGGACTGAAACTGCTGACAGAAGCACAGAGGAGACCCCAAAGAGCCTCTAAAGAATCATAGTGGGCGGGGCACAATGGCTCATGCCTGTAATCACAGCACTTTGGGAGGCAGGCTCACGCCTGTAATCACAGCACTTTGGGAGGCAGAAGCGGGCAGATCACCTGAGATCAGGAGTTCAAGACCAGCCTGGTCAACATGGCGAAACCCCATCTCTACTAAACGTACAAAAATTCGCTGGGCATGGTGGCAGATGCTTGTAATCCCAGCTACTCGGAAGGCTGAGGCAGGAGAATCACCTGAACCTGGGAGGTGGAAGTTGCAGTGAGCCGAGATCATGCCATTGCACTCTAGCTTGGGCAACCAAGAGTGAAACTCCGCCTCAAAAAAACAAAACAAGAAAGAAAAGAAAAGAAAAGAAAACAAAAGAAAAGAAAAGAAAAAAAAGAATCACGGTGAGTCTATGTTTCTTGCATAGAACCTCTGGGGTCCCAAGTGGCCATGGAGGCCACAGTTCTACTTCCGGCCCTAGCCCCGCCCCTACCCGCCTACCCACCATCGCAATGCATGATGGGCCACCACTTCACTTGGGCCACATCCACGAGACCCGAAGCTTCTTCCAGGTGGTGTGTGGCTGCCCCGAATGCGCTTTGAGAACATCCACTCCTTCCCCAATTTATATTGGGGGAATCAATAGTTTTTGTGCCTATCACCTCGTGTAATCGCAAAGATTTGTGCATAAAAGTTATGCCAGGCCGTGCACGGTGGCTCAAGCCTGTAATCCCAGCACTTTGGGAGGCCTAGGCGAGTTGGATCACCTGGGATCAGGAGTTCCAGAGCAGTCTGACCAATATGGAGAAACCCCGTCTCTACTAAAAATATAAAAATTAGCCAGGTGTGATGATGTGCACCTGTAGTCTCAGCTACTCTGGAGGCTGAGACAGGAGAATTGCTTGAACCCAGGAGGCGGAGGTTGCAGTGAGCCAAAAGCGCGCCACTGCACTCTAGCCTGGGCGACAGAACGAGACTCTGTCTCAAAAAAAAAAAAATAAAAATAAAAATAAAAAAGTTATCCCATTTCAGGGTAAGGGGATCACTGTATTTATTCCTCTTTTTAAGTCCAGTGGAAGTTAGGGATGAAATTGCCCAATGTGAGCCATGCCTTTTTAGTCTCGTAATTTGTTTCTCCCTGGAAGTCCTTAGCAACAGGCAGGAGACAGCAAAGTTCCCAGTGCACTGTGCTGAGTGGCAGAGGGTAGACCTGGCTCCATAGGAAGTCTGTCAGCCACAGACTGAACAGCTCCGTGGCTTTTGACCATATTTGCAGTGTCTCCCAGAGTTGTGAGCAGAAGCAGAGAGAGGATGCTGTGCACCAAGCGCTTGTAGGATCAGGCTTGCCCTGGCAGTCAGGCCATGGCTCTGGTGTCCAGATGATGGAGGGCAGGCCTCTCTGCTGTTGTAGCCGGGCTAAGCAAGTATGTTAATCTTCCTTTGTCACTAGGTGGCAGAATATAATTAAGATGTCAGAATTTCTTCCATAACATTGGAAGGCGTTTCTAGTTCCTTCTTAATGACCTCCTTCATTACTTTGCAGTATTTGCTAATGCCGTTTAGGACTGAGGCAATGAAATAAAATTTCCTTCTGCAAACATTTTCTATATTTATCCAGGATTCTACTTTTTTCATTTAACTGGCTTGCCTCTTAGGGAGAAGCATCCTTAACATAAAGTACATTCTCTTCTTAATGGCTACTGTTTGGACAATCCAAACTTCTTATTTTTATGTATTATTTTGTTACTCTTTGTGGGGTAGAAATAAATACTCTCCTGTCACATGTAAAATTTCAAATAGGTTTATTATAATGCATAATGTGATAATCCATTTTATAAATTAAAAATACATGAGTCCACATTGATAATAAATAGCTTTATTGATTTTCCTAACTATAAAGGCAATAGACACTCATTTAAAAAATTCTGAAAATACAGAAAAGTATAAAAAAGAAAAAATAATAACCAGTAATCCCACTATTCAAAGAGACCAAGCAGAAGGATGATAGAGTACCCCTGAATAATTGATCTTATCAAGTTGATGAAGCATAATTCTAAAAAAAACACATGGGTAAATATATGCCTCATAAAATATAATCCTGGGCTACCTGAAGGCCTGGGTCAGCACTTAACTCTTTTTTTTTTTTTTTTTTTTTTTTTTTTTTCCAGATGGAGTCTCACTCTGTTGCCCAGGCTGGAGTGCAGTGGCATGATCTTGGCCCACTGCAACCTCTGCCTCCCGGGTTCAAGCGATTCTCCTGCCTCAGCCTCCCGAGTAGCTGGGATTACAGGCATGAGCCACCACACCCAGCTAATTTTTGTATTTTTAGTAGAGACAGAGTTTCACCACGTTGGCCAGGCTGGTCTCAAACTCCTGACCTCAGGTGATCTGCCCACCTCGGCCTCCCAAAGTGCTGGGATTATAGGCGTGAGCCACTGGGCCCCGCGAAAACTATTTTTTATTAACATTTTATTATGAAAAATGTAAAGCATATACAAAAAAGTAGGAAGAACTTTATAACAAACCTGATGTATCCACACCCAGCTTCAAAAATTATCAATACATGGCGAATCTTGTTTCATCAATGCATGCTGACTTTTCTCCTCTCTAGTCTAGATGATGTTGATGATGATGATGATTACTGTTATTATTTGAGATAGGGTCTCACTCTGTCTCCCAGGCTGGAGTGCAGTGGTACGATCATGGCTTGCTGCAGCCTCGACCTCACCAGGCTCAAGCCATCCTCCCACCTCAGCCTCCTGAGTAGTGGGACTACAGGCAGATGCCACCACACTTGGCTCATTTTTAAATTTTTCCTAGAGACAGGCTCTCACAATGTTTCCCAGGTCTGGCCTCAAGCAATCCTTTCTCCTTGACCTCCCAAGGTGATGGGGTTACAGGTGTGAGCTATCGTGCCTGGGCCCTGGGCTAGATTATTTTGAAAGAAATCCCAGACATTGTTTCTCTTAACTTATACATATTTTATCTGTATTTCTAAAATAAGTTCTATAGAATCTGTGCAGTTTTGATGATTAACACATTAAATAATGCAATATATTCCTGTGAATTCTACTAAGGACTCACACGGTTGCCCACAGAAATGCAGCTTTGTAGAGGGTGTGGGTGATCTGACTGGAGTGGGCCAGATCTCTTGCCTGTGGAGTTGGAGATTTACTCTGCTGGGGAAAATACATCTCTGACCCAGTGTGTTATCTCCCTTCAGCCTTCAGATGAGTGTATGCAAAGAGTTTCAGTGAACAGACAGCAACAGACCAAAAGTATAGATAGCATATACCAGCTGAGAGTCTCCTCCAATGCCAGTCTTTCACATGCTCCCTGGTCCATTTTCAGTCATCAGAGGAGCAAAGAGTCTTCAGCTGAATCTCCTGTGCTGGAGGTCTTTCTCTTCTGGGGTCTTAGTATCGTGCTCCATTTCTTGCTTTTCCAGGAACGGGCTAAACTCCTACCATTTCCTCAGCTGAATGTTCACCTTCCTCATTTTCCCCTGATTAGCAGCAGCCTGCAGTACCCCTTTTACCCTTTTGCCCTAGCTGGGTTAGGTACACCTTTTCTGCAAGGGTTGCTGTATTTTCCTCCCTCCTCACTTCCTCTCCAAGCTCCCACTATTACATGAAGGTCCTAGTCAGTTTCCTTTTCCAGAGTGCTAATACCACAAAACTTGGCTGGTTGGTCCTGCTGCTTCTCTTTTCCCACTTCCACTTCCCCATGTACTGGATGCTTGCTACGTGTCAGGGACTGCACTCTGTGCTGGGGATAAAAGAATGAAAGAAGCAGAATCCTGCCTGGAAGAGCTTGCAGACTGGCTGGAGGATCTAGGTGAACAAGAGAGGGAACATAAATAAAGACAGTGAAACATAAAATGTGCCAGAAAACATGATGACATCAACAGTGATGACTAATGTTATTAGTGCAAAGTATTACTACCAACAACTAACATTTAATTGTACGGCTACTGTGTATGAGATGCTGTAACTCACTCCTTGTTTACTGTATTTTTAAATATTTTTGTTTCCTTTTGCTGTAAAATTTTTACATGTTTGTTTTAAATTTATTTACTTAATTGTAGGTAACTTTTTAAGCCACTGTAAATCCATTTGGAAACAAAGAGAGGAGTAAAAGGTAGGCCAGGCATGGTGGCTCACACCTGTAATCCCAGCACTTTGGAAGGCCGAGGTAGGTGGATCACTTGAGGCCAGGAGTTCAAGAGCAGTCTGGCCAACAGGGCGAAATCCCATCTCTATCAAAAAATAGAAAAAATTCGCTGGCCATGGTGGTGTGTGCCTGTAATCCCAGCTGCTTGGGAGGCTGAGGCACAAGAATCACTTGAACCCAAGAGGCGGAGGTTGCAGTCAGCCGAGATCATACCATTGCACTCCAGCCTGGGTGACAGAGTCATACTGTGTACCCCCACCCCCAAAAAAGGGTGAGCTTACTCTGCTTGGGGGAGTCAGAAAAGGCTTGCTCAGAACAAGCATTTTCTTTTTGTATTTATTTTAATTTTGAATCTGATTATACATTCATATAGTTCAAATGTATAACATAAAAATTATAAACATATATATACATACACATATGTATATACATATGCACACACACATACACATATATATATATGCATATATACACACACATATATATATCCCCATTACCCTTTTGTCCATCTCCACATTCTCCAAAGGTAACTACTGCTATTAGTTTCTTGTGTGTCATTCCAGAATTTCTGTGTGCATACATGAGCAAACATAAATAAGTTTCTTTCTTCCTCCCCAAATGTAGCATATTATACTTACTGATGGGTAGTTTGCTTTTTTAAAAAACATTTTATCATTTAGTGGTTAATACAATGGACTCTGGATTAGAATGCCTACATTCAAATCCCAGTTCTGTAATTTACTAGCTGCATGAACTTGGCAAGTTATTTAACTTCTTTGTGCCTTAATGTCTATTTCTGTATGTGAGGTCTTCAAAATCTTGCAACTTTATTATAGACTAAACTTTATCCTGTACTTTATGCATATATATGATGCAACTTTATCATAAACTGAAATCTCTTATGGACATTCTATTCTGTTCTATTGGTCTATCTGGTCATATACCTATACCACAGTTTTAATTTTTGAGGTTTTTACATCATATTTGCTATCTAATAGGGCTGGACCCCAGAAGGGGATTTGAAAGATGAATTGAATTTGAAAGATAAATGGAATCCTCTCAGCAGAGATGATGACATCAACAGTGACAACTAATGTTATTAATACAAACTATTACTACCAACAACTAACATTTAATTGTATGTCTACCATGTATGAGATGCTGTAACTCACTCCTTGTTTACTGTATTTTTTTTTTTTTTTTTTTGAGACGGAGTCTCACTCTGTCACCTAGGCTGGAGTGCAGTGGTGCGATCTTGGCTCACTGCAAGCTCCGCCTCCCGGGTTCATGCCATTCTCCTGTCTCAGCCTCCTGAGTAGCTGGGACTACAGGCGCCCGCCACTACGCCCAGCTATTTTTTTGTATTTTTTAGTAGAGACAGGGTTTCACCATGTTAGCCAGGATGGTCTTGATCTCCTGACCTCGTGATCCGCCCGCCTTGGCCTCTCAAAGTGCTGGAATTACAGGTGTGAGCCACTGTGCCCGGCCTGTTTACTGTGTTTTTAAATATTTTTGTTTCCCTTTTGCTGTAAAATGTTTACATGTTTATTTTAAATTTATTTACTTAATTGTAGGTAACTTTTTAGGCCACTTTAAATCTTTCTGGAAACGAGAGGAGTAAATAGAAAAAAAACCAGGAACTGTATCAGGTGCTTTGCGTAATAAATCCCTAATCTTTATAATAACCTGTCTTAGTCTGTTTGGGCTGCTATAACAAAATACCTTAGACTGGGTAATTTATAAACAATAGAAACTTATTGCTCACAGATCTGGCAGCTGAGAAGTCCAGTAACTAGGCATCAGCAGATTCACTGGTGAGGGTCTGTTTCTCATAGATAGCCACCTGCTATGTGTTCTCACATGGCAGAAAGGGCAAACAAGCTCTCTGGCTTTTCAAAATAAGGGCACAATCCATTCACCAGAGCTCCACCCTCATAACTTAATCACCTCCCAAAGGCCTCACCTCTTACTATTACTACATTAGGAATTGTTTCAACATCAGTTTTAGGAGGACACAAACATTCAGACCATAGCACAATCCTACAAGGTAGATGGTATTATCCTCCTTTTACAAATGAAGATACTGGTGCTTGTAGAGGTCGAGTAATTTTCTCAAGACTGTAGAGCAAATAAATATAAAGTCAAGATTCAAACCAAGGTCTGCTGATAATACACTCTCTGTGGTTCCTGGTACTTATTTAAACAATACTGAATGAGGTTCTTCATTAAGGTCCTTACAAAGATAGTAGAAAAAAAATACCTGAAAAAGAAATAGAATGGCTGGGCCTGGTGGCTCATGCCTGTAATCCCAGCACTTTGGGAGGCTGAGGTGGGCAGATCACTTGAGGTCAGGAGTTTGAGACCAGCCTGGCCAACATGGTGGAACTCCATCTCTACTAAAAATACAAAAATTAGCGCGGCGTGGTGGCAGGTGCCTGTAATCCCAGCTACTTGGGAAGCGGAGGCAGGAGAATCACTTGAACCTGGGAGGTGGAGTTTGCAGTGTGCCAAGATTGCGCCACTGCACTCCAACCTATATGGCAGGGCAAGACTTGGTCTCAAAGAAAAAAAATTAAAAAGAAAAAGAAAAAGAATGCATGATAGGGAATAATTATATACAGTTTTCCTAATAGTGAATAGATATATATAGTAAATATGGACTATGACAACGCATCATTACCATGTGATTTAGGTGTTAACCACTGTGCTAGGTGTCGAGGATACAATGATAAATGCGATCTGGCCCCTACCCCTTAACTCCTCCTCTGAGAGTTAGCTAGCAGATCTTTTTGGCCTAGACTCTCCATCTGTTGCACCCTAGGAATCATCTAGTCTGTTTCTTTATCCTAAGCAGCTTTATGCCAGCCCTTTTTTGTTTCAAAGTTGTTAATGCATTTATGATTAACCAGTAGTGGCTTCTTGAAGTGCTGTTTTAAAGAGTATACGGTTATATCTGGAGTCAGTGGCAAAAAATGCAGTGATTAGTCATGCCTTCCATGGGGGCAGGCAGGAGAAATGAAGGCAAACAGAACATCTATTTGTTACACCTGAACTAGTTGTCCAGAATGATCAGTTTCTCTCTGCAACTGTTACAAATGATCATTTTATTGCTGGAACTCACCATTTCTTAAATCAGTGTATAAACTATTCCCCTCTTGGGAAGTCCTAGAGCAAAGGAATCCATTTAACTTTGTTGTCACAGTATCACAAACATATTTTTTTGTCCAAGGAAGCTGTCTCTTCTTCATTGCTAATTATATAACCCATACCAATGCTGGAGGTGTCACTCTGCTCCAGGTCTGTAGATGTGTTCACCATCACTGCACATGAATGCTCTTGATTTCCCAGTGTTGTCATAGTGACTTTTGTTGAGGTGGGAAACCCCTGGGCTGAATGCTACCGTGTTCTGTGGAGGCCCTTATTTAATAGCTTTTCCCTCTATTTTGCCATTTAAAATTTCACTTCCTGTCACAGCTGGAGTTAAAAATGCTTACTAGTTGCCTGTCTGGAGTTTTCCTCTTTAAAATTTTCAAGGCCACACACAAATGAGTTCTTGCATTTCTGAGGTGTATTAGAGGTAGTTTTGTTTATTCTATTTGTTGGCTGAAAGCCATGCTCATCAAGGAAATACTCTCTCTAAGAAGTTAATCCTTAAATGTCTTTTACTTCTTGGGAAATGCATTTGGACAGCTGAGGAGGTTTCTATTCTCTTGTGGCTACCTGTCTGGCCACAGAAGGTGGAGAGAAAATGGAGGTTGTGCTATATCTTGGTGTAGTCTTGGAAAGAGTATTGCATTTAAAGTCACTAGTGGCCGGGCACAGTGGCTCATGCCTGTAATCCCAGCACTTTGGGAGCCCGAGGTGGGCGGATCACTTGAGGTCAGGGGTTTGAGACCAGCCTGGCTAACATGGTGAAACCCTGTCTCTACTAAAAATACAGAAATTAGCTGGGCTTAGTGGTGCAAGCCTGTAATTCCAGCTACTCGGGAGGCTGAGGCAGGAGGATCACTTGAACCTGGGAGGCAGAGGTTATAGAGAGCTGAGATCACGCCACTGCACTCCAGCCTGGGTGACAGCAAGACTCGGTCTAAAAAAAGAAAAGTCACTAGCTCTGGATGTAAGTCCTGGTACCATTGCTTAGTTGCTATGCAGTCTTGAGCCAATTAACTAAACTGAACATCATTTGACTCAACTATAATATAAAATGAAGATTATTACAATATGGAGTTGTTGAGAGGAATAAATGGGATGGTATAGGAAAGCACCTTTGCAAAAGCATTATTGTTAGATGTCTGGGTTTGCATTTTTCCTTGTTGGTTTCTCTATTATTCTTGTCTTAACCAGATGCAGTGTGTATGTGAAATGCAGTCTTTCCTGCAGCATCCAGATGTGCTTTTTATGAAAAGCTGGTAGACCAAACACCTGATACTAAATCCAACTTGGTTTTGGTGGCGGGACTCGTCTTGTTTTCCCTTCACTACTCTTCTTGTTCATCATGTAGATCTTCAGCACAGTATTGATCATCATTTATAAATTACACCTTAATTGTAATGTCTTTTAACATGTTTGTGAAGAAAAAGAGGTGCTCTCTCCCCCACAAAATTTTATTATTTTTTATTTTATAAATAAAAATATATTTTTAGAGACAAGGTCTCACTAAGTCACACAGGCTGGCCTGGAACTCCTGGGGTCAAGGAATCCTCCTGCTGCAGGCTCCTGAGTAGCTGAGATTATGGATGTGCACCACCATACCCACCTCACAAACCTTAAAAAAAAAATTTAGTTGAGCGAATGCAGCAGCTAGCTCATGTTCTGGGAGAAATGGGAGCCTAAGAAGGAAAAGACAGAATGTTAGAAGAGAATTACCGGCCAGGTGTGGTGGTGCACGCCTGTGATCCTAGCACTTTGGGAGGCCGAGGCGGGTGGATCACTTGAGGTCAGGAGTTCGAGACCAGCTGGCCAACATGGCAAAACCCTACCTCTACTAAAAATACAAAGATTAGCTGGGCATGATGGCAGGCATCTGTAATCCCAGATACTTGGGAGGCTGAGGCATGAGAATCGCTTGAGCCTGGGAGGTGGAGGTTGCAGTGAGCTAAGATCGCACCACTGCACTCTAGCCTGGGGGATAGAGCGAGACTCTGTCTCCAAAAAAAAAAAAAAAAAAAAAAAAAAAATTAGTCAGGTGTGATGGTGCACGCTTGTAATCCCAGGCAGTCAGGAGGCTGGGGCACAAGAACCACTTGAACCCAGGAGGCAGAGGTTGCAGTGAGCCAGGATCGCACCACTGCACTCCAAACTGGGTGACAGAGTGAGACTCTGTCTCAAAAAAAAAGAAAAAAATAAAAAGAGAGAATTACCTATTTGACAAAATGTTGAGAGTCTGTACTCTGCATCTTAACTCAGGTGAAGATGATGATCCGTGAGGTGGGATCCCATTGCATAATGCACAGCTTCCTGCCATCTCTCTGGCTCTATCTCACTCCTTTTTCTTCTGTCAACTTCTCTTTCCTTCCTGAAACAACTGTCACATTCCTTTCTAGTGGACATTTACACCACTCAGACCCCTTTTAAGAAGGACTTGCTGCCCATGTCCAGGGAGTGGGTTTGCAGACAGCCTCCAGCTGTCCAGCAGCTTCAGGGTCTATTCAAGCAGGGAGAGCTGCCTTGCCCAGGGTCATGCTATTCTCTGGGGAGCCCACAGCCGGTGACTGAGCAGGGTAGAGGCATAAAGGCTGGGCCATTTCAGCCTGATGGGAGACACTCTGATGGGCATACTTGCTCCAGAGCTCCCTCCCTGGTTAGTTGTGGCTTTAGTGGGCCTGCATCACAGGTCAAACTCTTCTGCCCAATCCTGCCTCCTCCTCCTTTCTTTCACAGATATTGATTCCTAATAAACACTTTTAAAATATGTTTAAAATACATCAGTTTTATTGAGATATAATTTACATACCATAAAATTTGCTCTTTTAAAGCATACAGCTAAGTGGTTTTAGTGTATTTATAAAGTTGTGCAATCATCACCACTATCTAATTCCAGAATATTTTCATGACTCCTAAAAAGAAGCTCCATACCTATTAGCAGTCACTCCCTATTTTCCCTTCCCCTATCCCCTGGCAGTCATTACTCTACTTTCTGTCTCTAGATTTGCCTATTCTGGATGTTCCATATGAATGGAATCATATAAGTGGCTTTTGTGACTGGCTTCTTTTTTTAGCCTAATGCCCAGCCTGGGCAACAAGAGTAAAACTCCATCTCAAAAAAAAAAAAAAAAAAATTAAAAAGGGAAGAGAGAAGGACCAGTTGAGAGGTGATGCCAGAGGGACTGGTAAGGGCTGCATTATTAGTGGCATTTATGTCATGATGAGATATTTGGACCCTTCCTGAAGCAGTGGAGACTCAGAGAAGGCAGGTAAGGTGTGATCAGATGTGCCCTCGCTTCATTTGTGGATTACAAATGGTGGGCAGCTCTTCTGTCTTCGAAATCATTCTGAGTCAGTCGGAGCCTGGGAGGAGGGATGTTGCTGGAGGTGAAGGGATGAATTGTAGGTTGAAGAGGGCATCAGAATGAATATCAGGGGCGCAGGATATGCACATGAGACTCAAGGGAAGGTGGAAAGGTAGCAGGGGAGACAGGCAGTGTGGCATGTTGCAAAGAGCATGGGCTTTGGAGTCGGACACACCTGGGTTTTGATTCCTTTTTCATCTCTTAGCCACTCTGTAGTGTTAGGCAGATTACCTAACTTCTTTGATTGGCTCTTTCTTAATCTTTAAAAGGAAGATAATAACCCTAACCTCTCAGTATTTCCTTGTGAGGCTGAAGTGAGGTAACCTATATAAGGCAATCAACTCCTCTTAGCTCATTTTCCCTGTCTCCATTCCTAGGGCAGGCCCAAGAGGTAGCACCCAGGGTGGAGGCCTAGAGTTGGATCATCAGGTAACCAAGGGCAGAGGGCAGGGAAGGTCAGGGGAGCCTGGACCAAGGAACAGGAAGTGGGAGGGAGAGGAGGGCCAGAATTTAGGGAATTGCAGGGCTGGACCCAGGCAGAAGTATCTCTGTATGGATGAAATTTTTTTGAAGCTTAATTCTTTCTGAAGTTCCAGAACTACCTTTCTCTGAAACACTAATTCAGGCCTCTCTGCAACTGTGAATGGTGGCCACTGGGATCCATTTGGATGATGGAGCCTGACAAACCTCACACTGAATTTTAGCCTCTGACAGTGGGCCAGATACAGTGAAGCCAAAGGCTGTGTTTTGGAAGGCACAACTGCCTAGGGATGAAGAGTCTGTAACCAGCCACCTCTATCCGTTCTTGCTTTCTTTTTCTTATTTATTTATTTTTTGGAGACAGAGTCTTGCTCTGTCACCCAGGCTGGAGTGCAGTAGTGCCATCATGGCTCACTGCAGCCTTAAACTCCCGGGCTTAAGCGACCCTCCTGCCTCAGCTTCCCAAAGTGCTGGGAATATGGCCGTGAGCCACCATCCCTGGCCATGTCTTGATTTTTAAAAAGCTATTTCGCATCTGTTAGTTTTCACTTCCAAATGATACATGGTTGAGATCCATGGCCTCTGCAGCAACTTGCCACCCTGTGATGCTGGGACTGAGAGTCAAGTGGAGTTTGGCAGCTACTTCTGAGCCATCCTGGACACTTGCCATCCCAGATGCTAATCTCATCCATCCCGGGATCTGCCACTTATCAGCTGAATGGAAAAACTGCCGGCCTCCAGAATCATAAACACAGTGCAGAAAACCATGCATTTGACCTGTTAGAGATCACTCTTCTTCTGTGGGGAGATACTGCCAGCCTCCCGAAAGAAGAAAATGATACAAGAGCTGTGTGTTGACCTGTTGGGAATCTCTCATGGCACCACCATGTTTAAGAGTGCAAGGATAATTGAGGCATGTGGTAAGGAGCCCAAGGCCACAAGAAAACCTAAAGCGCTTCCGTTCTTTGATGCTTAATCAGGATTTGTGGGTATGTGATTGTTCCGTGTTCATTTATTTGGCAAATGTTTGCCCAGAACTTCCTATTACTCTGGAATTTATGCAATTGCGTTTTTTTGGATTAAAGATGATAAAATAGAAGCAGTTTCCCATGGTTTGATCTCATATATGACAGGCACCATGCCAGGAGCTGGAGATGCGAAGAAATGAAACATAGATTCTGGCTGAAGGCGCTTACAGAGTCCAGAGAGGAGGTGGACACAAATAACTGGAATTCAAGTGATACGGGTTCTATTACAGATGTGTACAAAGGGGTGTGTGGTACATACCCAAGAGCGAAGGACCAAAGCAAAGGCTTCCCAGAGATACCACTTGGGTTTTAGTATATGGAATAAGAGTTTTTTTTTGGTGAGGCCGGGCTCAGTGGCTCATGCCTGTAATTACAGCACTTTAGGAGGCACAGAAGGGTGGATCACCTGAGATCAGGAGTTCAAAAGCAGCCTGACCAACATGGTGAAACTCCGTCTCTACTAAAGGTACAAAAATTAGCTGGGTGTGATGGGGCATGCCTGTAATCCCTGCTCCTTGGGAGGCTGAGGCACGAGAATCTCTTGGACCTGGGAGGCGGAGGTTGCAGTGGGCCAAGATCATGCCATTGTACTCCAGCCTGGGCAAAAAGAGCAAAACTCCGTCTCAAAAAAATTTTTAAGAAAAGAGAGAATTTTTTTGTGAAATTCTCAAAATTGATCAGCTATGCTAGGGATACACAGTGAGGTGGCTTTGTACTATGCCAGGTTAGCTTAATGTCTATAATAAATTCTTTATTCTACATTACCTATCATCATTCCGCTTCTCTGATCGACCCCTGACTTTTGCACACGGTTAGTCTCCATTCACACTGTGTTTGATTGATCAGCATTCCATAGTTAATGACTACGTTAAGTAGCAAGGAATGATGTATTTTCAAATGTCAGCAACTACAAAGATGCCCCGGAAACTTTCTTGCGGGGAAGTCTATCATTGCTTTCCCAAAAGGCATCATCACTCTATTTTCTTTTCTCTTCTCCTGACCCAGCCCATCAAGTCCAGATCCCAGGATGTATGATAGGAGGCTCTGGAAAGCCAAAAGGCTTGAAGGATTTAGAGAACATGCATCTGAGGAACATTAGTGACAGATAGGACTTCTGACCGGGGGAATGGTCCTCTCCCCGCTGACCCCCACCATTAGTGTGTGACAACTCCTAGGAGCTCTGCTAAGCTATAAAGAACCTTGGTGCCCTTAGTAGCATTGCTCTCAAAAGAAGTGTTGTTGTGAGGATTAAATGACACAATGTGTTTATATCTCTTAGCATACTGTTCCTAGTACATTGTAAGCACTCAATAAACGTTAGCTTTCACTATTCTTTATTGTGGTAAAATATACATAACATTAAACTTACCACTTTAACCACTAAGTGTACTGTTGAGTGTATTAAGTATATTCACATTGTCTTTCAACAGTCACCACCACTCCATCTCCAGAACTTTTTCATCTTCCCAAACTGAAACTTCATACCCATTACACAATAACTCCCATTTCTCCCTCCCTCCAGCCTCTGGCAACTATCATTCTTTCTGTCTCTGTAAATTTGTCTACTCTAGGAACCTCATATAAGTAGAAACAAACAATATTTGTCCTTTTGCAACTGGCTTATTTCACTTAGCATAATGTCTTCAAGGTTCATCCATGCTGTGGCATGTATTCGAATTTTCTTCCTGGCCAGGGCTGGTGGCTCACGCCTGTAATCCCAGCACTTTGGGAGACCTAGGCGGGTGGATCACCTGAGGTGGGGAATTTGAAACCAGCCTGGCCAACATAGTGAAATCTTGTCTCTACTAAAAATACAAAAATTAGCCGGGCATGGTGGTGTGTGCCTGTAATGCCAGCTACTCGGGAGGCTGTGGCAGGAAAATCGCTTAAACCTGGGAGGTGGAGATTGCAGTGAGCTAAGATCGCACCACTGCACTCCAGCCTGGGTGACAGAGTGAAACTCTGTCTCAAAAAAAAGAAAAAGAATTTTCTTCCTTATTAAAGCTTTATAATATTTCATTATATGTGTATGCCACATTTTGTTTATATGTATAAACCACATTTTGTTCATCTGTTGACTGGCACTTGAGTTGCTTCCATCTATTATGAATAATGCTATGAACATAGGTGTACAAATATCGTTCAAGTCCCTGCTTTGAATTCTTCTGGGTGTATACTCAGAAGTAGAATTGCTGGATGATATGGTGCAGTCATACATCACTTATTGACTGAAATACAGTCTGACAAATGCATCATTATGCAATTCTGTCATTGTGCAATTGTAGGGTGCACTTACACAAAGATGCACCCTACATGGTAAAGCCTACTACACACCTAGGCTTTATGGTGTAACCTATTGCTCCTAGATTATAAATCTGTACAGCATGTTGCTGTACTGAATGCTATAGGCAGCTGTAACACAATGGTAAGTATTTGTGTATCTAGACATATCTAAACATAAAAAAGGTACAGTACAAATATGGTATTATAATTTCATGGGACCATTGTGGTATGTGTAGTCTGTTGTCAAACAAAACGTCCTTATGTGGTACATAACAATAAGTCTATGTTTAATTTTTTGAAAAACTAGTTTCCATTATCATGATCAGTTATAAAGTTGCTTCTCTAGGGAACAAAGGGGACAGAGAGACTGGGCAAAGAAGAAAGTGTCAAGGTCCCTTGCAGCTTGAGGAATCCAAGCCCAGTGCTGTGTGTGCCATGGCCCCAGCATTTACTCTGTCGTTGTGCACCTTCTTCCTCTGCTTGAGTTGGAACAGGACATGAGAGGAAGCCGATGGAAGGAGGGATGGTGGGAAGGATTAGGTTACATAAACGGAGAGAGCAGCCCTATATGTGTCACAGGGGTGATTGGACACCTGAGGCTTTAGTTGTGCAGCTCAAGTGTTGCTCTGTTTTCCTGCCCCACTGGTGGGTATTGAGAGGGGCACTGGCGCAGTGGAGAGAAAGGCCTGGGGATGCACACTGTCGTGGCACTTCATCCTGTAGGACCTGGAGCCAGGTAGTGAAGGCAGCATGAAGTTGACTGAACTGGCAGCCTCGGGGAGCCTGAAGGCCAGGGCTGCTCAGGACCTGGAAAACATCTGGGAACTTATTCCCAAAAAACCTCAGAGCCCTAGTTTTTAAAAATGGCTCCCTCCTTCACAGGGGGGCCAACAATGTGTATGAAAGTTCTGGAAGATATGAAATGGTATCATCCATGGCTAAGTTCCTTCTTCACAAATGGCTGTTACCCTCCCAGATCCCTGGCTTCTGCTTCCTCCTGGTGGGGTGCTGTCGGGTATCTCTTGGGCTCAGCCACGTACCCAGTTATGAGCCAACATTCCCCTCAGTGCAAGTACGTAGAAATGCGCGACGCTCTCAGATGCAACAGCACGCAGTTCTGCTCTAATTCCTAGATTTCCTTTGGTACAAATCAGACTCCAGTTTTTTTCTCAAAGGTCACCCTCCTTCACTCAATATCACATAGCCCAGGAGTTACGAGGCTTCTTTGCCAGCCTCCTTCCCAGAGATTATTGGGGGTGGCAGTTCTCCTTCATAAAGAAACTCAAATTTAGACTTTTGGGGTTCTTTCCAAATGTGGTTATTCACACGAAGATACAGGATAAGAAGATCACATTCATTACACAACCATGAACTTGTGACGCATTACTGGTCATTTTGACAACAGTGTACTATAAGTTATTTTAAAAACAAATCTTAAAAGTGTCTTGTCAATGGAATAATTATATCATGTTTGGGTTTTTTTTTTCGCTGTTAAAAGCATTAATTTAATATATTTAAAATATGTCATAAATTTGGTATCCATTCCTGGTTTGGCTCAGCCTGCAGAACTCATCTATCCCTTAGTCACTGTGGTTTTATTTCTAACTTCAGAGTAGGAGTAATGTGCTAGACCTCAAAGCGGAGGCCAGAGCCCTGCTGTCTTACACGGTTGAACCAGACCTTTTTCTAGGACTAGCGCAGTTGCTGCAGAGGTTTTTTTGGGTGGGTTGTCAGTGGTCACTTTTGTGGATTCTAAGCAGTGATACCAGGTTGGAGTCTCCATTGCTGGCCACAGGTCACCTGGTTCTGTCTTGAGTAAATTGTCTACAGTTTAAACTCCTGTTTTTTGTTTGTTTGTTTTTTTTGAGATTGATTCTCGCTCTATCACTCAGGCTGGAGTGCAGTGGTGTGATCTTGGCTCACTGCAACCTCTGCCTCCCAGGTTCAAGAGATTCTCCTGCCTCAGCTGGGATTACAGGCTTGAGCCACCACACTCAGCCGTACTGTTTAAATTCTGTTCAAGACTTCTCAGGCACAGATTCTGGACCTCCTGGTTGCATCTGTGGAGTAAAGCCTGAGCATATTTAGGCCAGTTTTCTTGGACCCTTCCCCATAATGGTGTGTATATTTTTACCAAGCCCAGTGATATAATTATTTCTTGCTGCATGATAGATTACCCCCAAATTTAGCAGCTTAAAACAGCAAGGATTTATTATTATACACATTTTCTATGGGTCAGCAGTCTGGGAGGGGTTTAGCTGGGTAATTCTGGCTCAGGGCCTCTCACGAGGCTGCTGTCAAGCTGTCAGCCCAGGCTGCAGTCATCTCAGGGCTGGAGAATTTGTTTCTAAGCTCACTCACTTGGTGGTTGCTAGATCTCAGTTCCTCATTGGCTGTTGGCTAGAGTCTCCCTCAGTTCCTCACCATGTGAACCTCTCCACAGAGTGGCTGACAACATGGCAGCTGGCTTCCCCCAAAGTGGTTGGCATCCCCCAAAATGAAAAAGAGATCCCAAGCTGGAAGCCACAGTCTGTAAATGACCTAATCTCAGAAGTGACATGCCATCACTCCTGCATATACTGGTCTGATCACACAGACCAACCCTGCTGCAATGTGTACAGGGTGCTGCACAAGGCTGTGAATACCAGGAGATGGGGATCACTGGGGTTCATCTTGGAAGCTGGCTGCCCCACCCAGCTCCTCACTCAGCAAGCCATGCCTCCAACTCTCGCATTATGATAAAGGCAATTGTTTAATCCAGGTAGTACCTTCTAGGGAGTTCCTAGTAGGATCTAGGCACTGTCCTAAGAGCTTTGCGTGCATTAACTCACTGAATGCTAGTAACCTAGAGGTTGATACAAGGGTTCCTGTTTTGTGATTTCAGAACCTGGAGCACAAAGTGGTTAAGTAATCATTACTTTACACTGTGTCCCGGAATGAAAGAGATATTGCTCAGAGCTCCACATATTTCTTCATTTTGCCAACTTTTTGGCTAGAAATAGAGATCCTTGATCTGCATCCCTTTCGGGGCTGGCTGTATTATCTGCCTTTCCCAGTCAAAGACTGAGTTCCTTAAGGAGCCCAGGGCTCTGACCCTTCAAAGGACCCTGGAGAAAAGAGCTTGCCTTTGAATTTCTCCTTAGGGGAGGATCTCCCTGGGCCTGCCGTCCCCTTCTCTGCTGTTACTTCGGGACACCAGTTGCTGCCAGTCTGAGCCAGGGGAAGGGAAGGGTTCTAAATTTCAGAAGATAGAACAGTTTAGCAGAGGACTGAGCCTTGAGAGGAAGGAGAGCAGGGAAGATACAAAGCTACTGCTCCAGTCTACAGTTTAAGGGCATCTGCAGTCTTCTCACCAACCTGCCTTCCCAGGCTATTTCCCATCTCTCACTCCCAGAAACAACAAATCACTCATGGTTAATAAACACATTGTCATTTTCTTTGCCTTTGTGCCCTTGTTTTCCGGTTCCGGTTCCCTGCTCCCTCCTACCCCTCTCTGCCTACTAATGCCTACTGACTTCAAGACCCAGCTAAAAATCACCCTGAGATATCTCCCTCTGGGCCGGTTCATCACAGATTTTAATGTAAACAGAGCCCTTGTGCAAGAATTCATTTTGAGGCCCTGTTAAATTACAGACTTTTATTCGGTAGGTCTGAGGTGGGGCCCGAGAGTCTACAGCTGAAAGAACTCCAGGGTAGCGTAAATGCAATTGATCTCTTAACCACACATTGAGTAGCAAGGCGCCACATCTCATCTTTCCTTTCATCCTTTTTGGAAATGTAAGCCTATTTCATGGTAGAAGCTATTTTAAGGGAAACCAGATGTCTTATACTGGCTAAAATTAATTTGGCATTCAGCAATTATTAAATTATTTGGTAGATATGTAGGGTGACCAATGCCCTGATTTGTCTGGCATTGTGGGGTTTCCTGGGACGTGAGACTTCCACTGCTAAAACTGGGAAAGTCTTAGGAAAACCAGAATGAATTAGGTATCTTGCCTCTGGTGGTTAGAGTGAGGGTGATGTGTCCCTTTCCTTATAACCTTTCCACCAGGTGCAGTCTTGACAAAATTTTACTAAAGCTATGAATGTTTATTAGCCAGCAGGCATAAGAACTGTCCTAGGCCGGGTGCAGTGGCTCACACCTGTAATCCCAGCACTTTGGGAGGCTGAGGCGGGCAGATCTCTTGAGCTCAGGAGTTCGAGACCAGCCTGGGCAACATGGGGAAATGTTGTCTTTATATTTAAAAAAAAAAAAATATATATATATATATATATATATATATATATATATATATATATATATACCGGGTGTGGTGGCATGCACCTGTAGTCCCAGCTACTCAGGAGACTGAGGTGGGAGGATCCTTTAAGCCCAGGAGGCAGAGGTTGCAGTAAGCCGAGATTGCACCACTGCATTCCAGCCAGTGTGAAGATCCTGTCTCAAAAAAAAAGAACTGTCCTACGCTGGTTCTTGGGGCTTGGGGAGAGCCATTCTCTGCCTCAGACACTACAAATAACACAAGCATGGTCGGTTCTCTCTAAAATAGACACAAAGAAATTACAGTGACAGGACCAACTAACCTTATAGTAGGTTAAAGTTATAGCCTCTATGGAAAGAGACACAGCACCAAGGGAACAATAGACCTTGTCACTCCACCAAAAATGATAGACTGCTTATTGAATTTGTATACTTCATTCAAACATGAGCAGTGAGCATGGTCTTGCAGTTAGTGAGGAGCCCTGAAGGTTTCAGAGGCGAGTGCCTGTCTCAGGGCGTTGAGTCAGCCAGGGAATCAGCTCTGTATCTTTCTCAGTTTCAGGTTTTGTTGGTCTTTGTGATATTTTGCCTGGAGGATGGGTGGAGGGTCACCTCAAGAAGCGACCACAACTCAAAGTTATTTTATTCTACATTGCAAAGTATGCCAGATAGAAGAAAACGCCCCTTAGCTTCCCTTTGTCATTCAACACCAGGAAGAAAGAGGAAAATGGAATTGGTTTTCTCTTTTTTTTTTTTTTTTTTTGAGATGGAGTCTCTGTCGCCCAGGCTAGAGTGCAATGGCGTGATCTCGGCTCACCGCAACCTCCACCTTCTGGGTTCAAGCAATTTCCCTGCCTCAGCCTCCTGAGTAGCTCGGACTATAGGCGCCTGCCACCACGGCCAGCTAAGTTTTTTGTATTTTTAGTAGAGATGGGGTTTCACCATGTTGGCCAGGCTGGTCTCAAACTTCTGACCTCAGGTGATCCACCCACCTTGGTCTCCCAAAGTGCTGGGAGTACAGGCGAGAGTCACTGCACCCTGCCTGGAGTTGGTTTTCTTTGGGCTCTGAGGAACACACAAAACAACAAGACCCGTCAGAGTTCAGAGAAACCAATCTCGTGGGGCTACATTGGAACAGCTGAAGGTTTTTTCTTTTTTCTTTTTTTACATTTTTAGACTTCCCTTTGTTTTCTTACAAAACATAAAAACTCAGACTTTAGTTGCCTCTAGGCCTTTCAGAAGAAGCCAGCTGTGGGGAGGGAGGCGGGGCCGCTAGGAGTTCTGCGAACAGATTTTTCAGAGCAAGTGTTAGCATCAGCGGAGCTCTGGTCCTCCCTGTGGATTTGTAAACCAACCTCTGACACCCATTCAGCAAAACAACTTCACCTTTCACCTACTTTCTTTGTTTTCCAGCTGTTTGGTGCATGTTCTGTGTGCATATGTAAGCAACTCTTGATGATTTTGTTTGCTTATACTATTTCCTTCTCAATAAAGAGAAAGAATAGGGCATGAGTATGTCACTGTTGGGCGGGACCCCAAGGGGATCTAGAGATTGTGACCCAGCATCAGATGACAACCCTGGCCTCAGACAAAGACCCTTTGTTTCACAGATGAAGCAACTGACACCTGGATGACTTGCTCCATGCTGGCAAAGGAGTGATTGGATCTAAAACAAGATTTTTAATGCTCTCAATTAAAATTCAGAGTCTCAAGGTTGAAAAGGACTTTGACAATTACATATCCAACCTCACACAGATGCTTGAATTCTGGTCTCTAATGAGTGTACAGTGGCCGGGCGCGGTGGCTCACACCTGTAATCCCAGGACTTTGGGAGGCCGAGGCAGGCGGATCACGAGGTCAGGAGTTCGAGACCAGCCTGACCAACATGGTGAAACACCGTCTCTACTAAAAATACAAAAATTAACTGGGCGTGGTGGCGCATGTATGATCCCAGCTACTCAGGAGGCTGAGGCAGGAGAATTGCTGGAACCCACGAGGGGGAGGTTGCAGTGAGCCGAGACTGTGCCACTGTGCTCCAGCCTGGGTGACAGAGAGAGTGAGACTCCATCTCATAAAAAAAAAGGAGTGTAGAGTGGCCACGTGGCCACTACTGGTCTCACTGGAAGATGAGGAGATCACAACTGTCCCAGCAAATGGAAGCTCTTTCATTTATTTCCATGGGTGCAGGATATCGCCCAGGCTGCAGTACAGTGATACGATCTTACCTCACTGCAACCTCCACTCCCGGATTCAAGTAATTCTCCCTGCCTTAGCCTCCCAAGTAGCTGGAAATTACAGGCATCCGCCACCACACCTGGCTAATTTTTGTATTTTTAGTAGAGATGGGGTTTCGCCATGTTGGCCAGGCTGGTCTTGAACTCCTGACTTCAGGTGATCCGTCTGCCTTGGCCTCCCAAGGTGCTGGGATTACAGCTCGCCACTGTACCTGGCGAGCTCTCTGTTTTTGAATCCGTTACTTTCTATCAGAGTTATACAAATATCAATGAATTTTCATTAAAAAGGCATTTCCTGGAGCACACTTCATTTACCTTTGATCAGTTAATCGGAGAACACTGAGAAGCCTTTAATTTCCACAAGGGATATAGCCTTTCCTAAACATAACCTGCTTATTTGAGGCAGAATATCTTGTAACTCTAACCTTACATAGAACAAATTTAGGAAAATGCTGGTTTGAGCTATGGAATAAAATTCTTAAAAAGGTACATGTTAATTAATTTTTTTGTGAGTCAAATATTTTAAATGTAATAAGAGGAATTTACCACTCAAAAGCAACCAATGGAAAATATATTGCTAAACATAAAGAAGATTATTTATGTAATATAAATAAAAATGTTGGTGAACATATTCTGTATTATGAATCATTCTGGAATGATGTATGCAAATCTCTCACTCATTCTTTTCGAGATAGGGTCTCACTCTGTCACCTAGGCTGGAGTGTAGTGACATGATCATGGCTTACTTTAGCCTCAACCTCCTGGGCTCAAGTGATCCTACTACCTCTCAGCCTCCCTAATAGCTGGGACTACATGTGTGCACCACCATGCCCAGCTAATTAACAAAAAAATTTTTGCCCGTGTACAGTGGCTCATGCCTGTAATCCCAGCGAGGCAGGAGAATAGGGCCTGGAGATAGGGAACATGAGGCTGATCCACGCTGACTTCCTAGAAGTAAATCAAATAAAAGCACTTCGGCAATGACAGAAATGTGAATGGCTTTGTAACTTCACTTCATCCTCTCCATTTACATAGATCACATACACCAAGTAACATCCTCTCCATTTACACTAGGGTGCATTCTGAGTAAACGACTCTGTGACTTAACTTCATTCTCTTCATTTACATAGAATATTTGCCAAGTAACCAATGGGAAACGTCTAGAGTATTGAAACCTCAGAAAATTCTGTGAGCGGGGCTCTTGAGCACCTGTGCTCAGGCCTACTCCCATACTGTGGAGTGTACTTTCGTTCTCAATAAATCCCTGCATTTGCTTTCCTGTCTTTGTGAGTTTTGTCCAGTTATTTGTTTGAGACCCCAAGAACCTGGACACCTTCTATCAGAACACCAGCACTTTGACAGGCCGAGGGTGTGGATCACCTGAGGCCAGGAGTTCGAGACCAGCCTGGCCAACATGGCGAAACCCTGTTTCTACTAAAAAAAAATTTAAAAATTAGCTGGGCGTGGTGGCGTGTGCCTGTAATTGCAGCTACTCAGGAGGCTGAGGCAGGAGAATAGTTTGAACCCTGGAGGCAGAGGTTGCAGTGAGCTAAGATCAAGCCTCTGCATTCTAGCCTGGGTGACAGATGGGGGAGTCTCACCACATTACCCACGCTGGTCTTGAACTCCTGGGCTCAAGCAATCCTCGTGCCACAGTCTCCCAAAATGTTGGAATTACAGGCATGAGCTACTCTGTCTAGCTACAAATATCTTAATGCTTACTTTGTATGTAAAATTTTGGGGAAACTTTTATTTTTTAATTTTGTTTGGCTGCATTTTAAAAATTTCTATATTGGGCCAGGCACAGTGGCTCATGCCTGTAAGCTACTCGGGAGGCCAAGGCAGGAGAATCACTTGAACCCAGGAGGTGGAGGTTGCAGTGAGCTGAGATCGTGCCACTGCACTTCAGCCTGGCGACAGTGCGAGACTCCGTCTCAAAAAAAAAAAAAATAAATTCTAAATTGAACACAACTAAGTTTTAAAAAAGCAGCCCCAACAGCAAAAAGACTCGAGACAAGAAATGACAGATCCTATAGGAAACTGAAGAATGTGTTTGGTAGAGAGAATAAGCATTATTTCTTCTTTTATCTCTTGTTTGTTTGTTTATTTGTTTTTTGAGACAGAGTCTCGCTCTGTCGCCCAGGCTGGAGTGCAGTGGCCCGATCTTGGCTCACTGCAAGCTCCACCTCCCAGGTTCACACCATTCTCCTGCCTCAGCCTCCCGAGTAGCTGGGACTACAGGTGCCCGCCACCATGCTGGCTCATTTTTGTATTTTTAGTAGAGACAGGGTTTCACCATGTTGGCCAGGCTGGTCAACTCCTGACCTCATGATCCACCCGCCTCGGCCTCCCAAAATGCTGGGATTACAGGCATGTGTCTTTTATCTTTTGTGTAAGCCAGGGAGATATTCTCTCTCTCATCCTGTGTAAGAAATGCATGGCTAAAGTATCATATTCCTCGTATAATTTTTCTGATCAAAAATCTACTGTAATATCTGCCTATAAATGAAGTCTAACCTCCTCTGTCTGATTTTTAAGATGCTGTGTAATCTAACCCCCTTTTATCTCTCAGATTTACCTAATGCTGGTTCCTTTCTGATAACATGCCACTCCAGCCAGGCTTACTTTTTCTTTCCATTCCTTTTGTCCCTATGCTCTTTGCTGCTTCAGTGTCTTTGTTCATGTTTTTCAGACCAGAATGTCCTTTCTACCTCTCCAAATTCAAGGCCATTTGTACCCCACACTGATTTTTCCTTTTCCTGACCTTTGATGGCATTTCTAGACTATACCATACCATTTATCATTGACTGATTCACTGGGCTTACCTAGGCTCAGCCCTTGATGCTGACTGGCAGAGGCAAAACTTAGGTTGCTGGCTGCCTAGGTTGCTGGTGTTACCAGAAAAGGGGTCCGCATCCAGAGCTCAGGAGAGGGTTCTTGGATCTCACGCAAGAAAGAAGTCAGGGCAAGTCTGCAGAGCAAAGTGAAAGCAAGTTTATTAAGACAGTAAAGGAATAAAAGAATGGCTACCCCATAGACAGAGTAGCCCCGAGGACTACTGGTTGTCCATTTTTATGGTTTTTTTTTATGATATGCTAAACAAGGGGTGGATTATTCATACCTCCCCTTTTTAGACCATATAGGGTAACTTCCTGACATTGCCATGGCATTTATAAACTGTCATGGCGCTGGTGGGAGTGTAGCAGTGAGGATGACCAGAGGTCACTCTTGACGCCATTTTGGTTTTGGTGGGTTTTGGCTGGCTCCTTTACTGCAACCTGTTTTATCAGCCAGGTCTTTATGTCCTGTATTTTGTGTGACCTCCTATCTCATCCTGTGACTTAGAATGCCTTAACCGTCTGTGAATGCAGCCCAGTAGGTTTCAGCCTCATTTCACCCAGCTCTTATTTAAGATGGAGTTGCTCTGGTTCACACGCCTCTGACACTGGAATTGAATACCTGGAGGGCATGTTAAAAGGGGAGAAATAGCAAGGAATGAATCGGGAAGTTAGAGTCTAGAGAAACAGACCAACTAGACATCAGTTGGAGTGGCTGAACAAATGAAAAGCTAGAGAGATGCTAGAGCAAGCAGAGGCCCAGTGTAGATAAAGATACAGAAGATGGTGGCTGTCTTGTTCCTCTTGTGTTGGGTTTGGTGTGTTCGGCCTGCGGTGGGGACAGCCTGCCACTGCATACTGACACCCTCTTTAATCATACCCTGACAATGATAGCAAAGTTAGGAGTTCCCAGGGGGCCCTTCTGGAGAACTTTACTTTTTTTATGCCACCATATAGTGTCATCAGAAGTGCAGATTGACTCTGACACTTTATCACCAAGTAGAAGAATCTCAGGCTGGAAGCAGCTTAGGCAAAAAACGCAAATGTACTTGCTCATGGAATCCAATAAACAATCAGGTGTAGCTTATCATACCTGCAAACCAAACTGCAGGAAGCATGGCTGCAACTTGGTCTCAGGAACAACTGGATCCCGAGACTTGGATGCTGCCAATAGCTCTTTTTTACCTCCCTAGCCTCTGCTTCTTTTTACCCTTTCACCTTCTCTAACTGCAAATAGCCCTTCTTCTCATGGTTGTATATGCGGCTATTAAAAGCTCCTGAAGTTTACATCTTTCAACTTCCACCACCAAAGGGAGACTGATTCTTTTATTCTAGTAGGGATGAATCCCAAGCAAGGTTCTGATTGGCCCACCTTGAGTCAACTACCCAAACTTAACTAATCAAACATGGAAAGAGAAGACAAGACCAGATAAGAACACGCCATGTGGGCCAGGCGTGGTGGCTCGTGCCTGTAATCCCAGCACTTTGGGAGGCTGAGGCAGACAGATCACCTGAGTTTGGGAGTTCAAGACCAGCCTGACCAGCATGGAGAAACCCTGTCTCTACTAAAAATACACAATTAGCTGGGTGTGATAGTGCATGCCTGTAATCCTAGCTACTCCGGAGGCTGAGGCAGGAGAATCGCTTGAACCTGGGAGGCGGAGGCTGGGGTGAGTCAAGATCGTGCCATTGCACTCCAGCCTGGGCAACACGAGTGAAAATCCATCTCAATAAATAAATAAATAAACGAACACGCCGTGTGGACAGGGGTGGGGTGAGTAGTTTCTAGGAGGAGAGGGTTTGGGGCGAATAATCCTATAGATGTCCAATATGATAGCATACCAGCAACTGCATCCACAGGCATGTAAATTGGTATGTTGGAAATCAGGAAGGAATAACTGTAGTCTAGCACACTGCCCTTCCTATTGCCACAACAGTCAGGAAGCCTTTATTAAGAGTTGCTCCTGGGAACTTGATAATTGTTGGAATAGCCTGCAACTCTACACTGTCATTTTTTCTTGCTATGTTAACCTCAGGACCTTCAGCTTTATTCAGACACCTAATAACCCTGGCATTTCTTTGCTCTGCAAGGAACCGCTGATGGCACTGTTATCTTTGCGTTTGTGACTGTTGAGTCACTTCATTTCCCAGAGGGAGAATGGTGAAGTCACCAACACCACCAGGTCACCAGCAACCTTAAGCTCTGGATGGAATGATGCTAGGGAAAAATGTGAGTTAGAAAAGGAGCCTGACACTATTTCTTTTAAAGGAAGGCCATTAGCTCATCTTGGGAAAGTCAGCTGGCTGGCGGGGAAGAGGAGGTAGGAGGAACGTTAGCAGAAAATACCTAACTCTTGCTGTACACGGTGGCTCACGCCTGTAATCCCAGCACTTTGGGAAGCTGAGGCAGGCAGATCACCTGAGGTCAGGAGTTTGAGACTGGCCTGGCCAACATGGACCCTGTGTCTACTAAAAATAAAAAAAACTAGCCAGCATGGTGGCGGCACCTGTAGTCCCACCTCCTTGGGAGGCTGAGGCAGGAGAATCACTTGAATCTGGGAGGTGGAGGTTGCAGTAAGCTGAGATCATGCCACTACACTCCAGCCTGGGTGACAGAGCAAGATTCTCTCGAAAAAAAAAAGCCTAACTCTGGATGGATCTTCCCCAGTTCTAGAAGGCACCAGTGTTAATAAGTTCCTGATGCACAAGGCTGGCAGAGAGTCAGCTGTGGGAGATAAATCAAGAATAAAGCTGTGAGGTAGGGAAGGCGGTGTAGCATAAAGACCCAGACAAACATGTCTGGGTCACTCTGTTCCATTTCTGCTTGCTTGGCTCTGGCCTCTGCTACTGATCTGGCCTTCCCAGATGCCCGCCATGCCATTGCTAACACCTGCTTGGCCTTTTATCTGGCTTTAGACTTAGCATTTACTTTGGGATTTATACTGTTGCTTCTCTCTTCTGCATATTGATGTTTATTGGGCTCTCCAGTGGTCCCTTGACTTGTCTATGGAGCCCTTTCTTTTTGTCACCTATTCTGAAGGGAATTTCATCCAAGTGATGCTGATCAGGCCATGCTCCACATCCCTCCCTGGCACCTGGCTTCGAGCTTATAGGTGCAGCTCCCTTGGGATTGGAGCTGCTTTCTCCACGGAGCCCCCATGGGTGCTGTGTGGGTCTTAATCCAGACTCTACTAAGCATAGCCTGTTTACTCATGGCTGCCGCCCCTCGAGGCTGAGTCTGTCTCATCTCTGTCCCTGCAGCATCCAGGACAGAGCCTGGCACAGAGCAGGCTCAGTCCTGTTTGTCACAGGATTGGGGAAATATGCATGGTGGCCTGACTGTGGTTGGTACCCTGCTTTTCTCTGGTCATCCTCTGGGTTCAAGTGCAGTTTATCAGACCTGCTCCTTAGAGTCTCATGTTTTGAAATTGCTTCTTTTGAGAAAGCACAGAGTCCCTTCTCTACTCCGGAACAAATCACAGACACAGGGCCCAGCAAAAGACTTAACTAGAAATAAAAAGACCTGCTTTCCTACCTTCCCTCACCAGTCTGTCTGTAGTGTATTGCAGTGGAGTGTAGTGGTTAAGAATATGGATCCTGAAATCATACTACCTGGTCTCAAATCCTGGCTCTACTACTTAGTAGCTGTGTCACTGGTGGCAAAAGACTTTGTTACCTGTGCCTCAGTTTCCTCATCTGTCAAACAGGAATAATAACAGGACCAACTTCATAGGGCTATTAGGAGAATTAGATGTGTTAATATGAGTAATGTGCTTGTAACAGCACGTGGTACGCAGCAGGCATTCTAGAAGTGTTTGCTGTTGCTATTGTTCTCTACCTTCATTACTGACTCCAGTAAGGGTCCTCTGACTTTGTTCCCTCCTGTGTTCCTGGACTAACCCCTGACCTTCCCTCTCCTGGAACTCAACTTTTAGACCTCAGTCTCATGCTGTGGTCCACACAGTCAAATACTTGCAAACACATATTTCTAGTTGGTTACTCAGTTATAACCCAGGAGATGTCCAGCCTCATTCTTTTTTTGCCCATGCTAAAGTGCAGTGGTATGATCTCAGCTCACTGCAACCTCCACCTCCCAGGTTCAAGCAATTCTCCTGCCTGAGACTCCTGAGTAGCTGGGATTACAGGCACCTGCCACCACGCCCGGCTAATTTTTGTATTTTTAGTAGAGATGGAGTTTTGCCATGTTGGCCAGGCTGGTCTTGAACTCCTGACCTTAAGTGGTCTGCCCGCCTCGGCCTCCCAAAGTGCTGGGGTTACAGGTGTGAGCCACCGCACCCGGCTGCCTCATTCTTTGTGTTAGTGTCACCTGACCTACTCCTGGTCCTTTCCTCAGGTAAGTCCTGGCCCGAACATTGCTTTTTTTTTTATTTTTTTTGAGATAGAGTTTTGCTCTTGTCACCCAGGCTGGAGTGCAATCTTGGCTCACTGCAACCTCTGCCTCCCAGGTTCAAGTGATTCTCCTGCCTCAGCCTCCTGAGTAGCTGGATTACAGGTGCCTGCCACCATGCCTGGCTAATTTTTTTGTATTTTTAGTGGAGACAGGGTTTCACCGTGTTGGCCAGGCTGGTCTCAAACTCCTGACCTCAGGTGATTCACCCGCCTCGGCTTCCCAAAGTGCTGGGATTACAGGCATGAGCCACCGTGCCTGGCCAAACGTTGTTCTTTTAATGGCCAATTAGGGTGGCTGTAAAGGAGTAAGGTTTGTCTAGTTTGCTACACCAAGAGTTGGCAAACTTTTTTTGTAAAGGCCTAGATAGGAAATATTTTAAGCTTTGTAGACCACCCATGGTCTCTCTCACTCCTCTTTCTCCTCCTCCTCCTCATCTTCCTCCTCCTTCCTTTTGTTCTTCCTCACAACCCTTTAACAATGTAAAAACCATCCTTAACTTGAGGACTGTTTACTGAAAGAGGTCCTGAGCTACATTTGGCCCTTAGGCCATGATTTGTAGACTTCTGTGCTAGGCAACACATTCCATGAGGGCAGGAACAAGTCTGTCTTCTCTATGGTCTAGCTACTAACCTGCAACATGGCAGATCCTCTATTTGTACCTGTCAAACGAATGAATAAATGGATTCAAATGAGTCTCTGGCTTCCAAACTTAAGAGAAAGAATCCCCATGTAAATTCTATAGTGAACAGAAGAACCCCTGGGAAGGGATCTATTAAGTTTGGCTCTTTGCTCTGTCTGCAGTTACCCAAGGGCATAGGTGTCTTTCCATGGGGTACACCTTAGCCTAAGTACCTACCTGCAATTCTAGTGCCTTCTTTTTTCAGCCAAGAACAGAGTTCTTCCCGCAGCCTCAGTTCTATAGTAAACTATGCCAGCAGTGTGCTGGTAAGTATTTAACAACCAGCTGCCCAACAAGCAAGCGAACAATCCCTGACTTATATAGCATTTGCCAATTTCCATGGTGTAAATACTTCTGCCATGGCCAATTTCAAGCTACAGATGTGAAGACACTAAACATGAATCTGGGAGGAGATAATGCACAATCAGCTCTCTCCAGCTGTAGCTTACCACTAACCATACTCTCTTCCCTGCCCACTCCTGCAGCCCTATGGACTACACACCTCCTGGGAGAAAACTTGACAGAAACCTTAGTTTCCACTGTTGCTGCCCCAGGATTAGGCTCTTCTCTGTGTTTTGGTGGATGGGTAGCATTATCTTACTCTCTCAGACTTCCTGGATTTCAGCTTTGCCTGCTTTGATCCCCAATCCCTGACTGTTCGTTTGACCCCCTGACTCCCTGGGATTCTTGCAGAGTGCAGGAGGCCATACAGTTCCTGATCAACCCTGGCTTCCTGGCTCTCACATGTCTGACATGCTTCTGAGCACAGAGAAGAATAAACACTCCACCGCCTGCAGGGTCTTCTGTTTTTCAGGCTGGGGCTTGTGTGGTCCCTCCCTTCCAGTTCTTGCAGCACACCTCTCTTGACTGCCCCGTTCCCTTCTATCCTCAGTTCCCAGCTCAGTTTTCCTTCCCTATCCTTTATTCCTAATTAGCACCATCTGTCTGCTAACCCCGTACATGCTCTTCACCTTTATTGTTTCACACAAAAATTAATTACTGAGTACTTTTTGTGTGCCAGACTCTGTCTAGGCCCTGGGATACATCAGTGAACAAAACAGATAGGGATTCCCTGCCCTTGGGGGAACTTTATATTAAAGTGCAAAGGGCTGGGCATGGTGGTTCACATCTATAATCCCAGCACCTTGGGAGGCTGAGGCCGGCAGATCACTTGAGGTCAGGAGTTCGAGACTAGCCTGGCCAACATGGTGAAACCCCGTTCTTACTAAAAATCCAAATATTAGCTGGGCCTGGTAGTGCAGGCCTGTAATCCCAGCTACTCGGGAGGCTGAGGAACCCAGGCAGCAGAGGTTGCAGAGAGCCAAGATCACACCACTGCACTCCAGCCTGGGCGACAGAGCGAGACTCTGTCTCAAGAAAAAAAAAAAAAAGTGCAAGTAAGCACATGCTAAGCAATAGGCATAATAATAAAATAAATAATACATTATAAAAGAAGATTATACGCATGATGAAAAAGCGAGCAGGGAAAGATGGGTTAGCCATGCTGATAAGAGGCAAGTAGTTAGAAAAGCATTTTGAGAAAGTGACATTTGAGCAAAGTATTAAAAAAGGTTCCGTGTGTCCAGTAGCCTGATTCACAGCACTTAATTCAACATCAACGTCAGGTCATACAGGTATGCAGCTTGACTTCAGCCTGAGAACTTCCAAGACTTCAAGTTTCTCACAGAGACACTATTTCCGGTAAGAGAGAGGCAGGAAGTGTTGTGGTTATTGTTTGAGCTTTGTTGTAGAAAACATGAGTTGGAATCCTGGCTCTGAGGCCAATTAGGGCAGCTGTAGAGGCCTGAGGTTTACCTAATCTGCTAGATACTGGGTTTCCTGAAGGTGGTGGCTAAGTCTGTCTTGTCTACCAATATAGCCTAGTGCCTGTGCCTAGCGGAGTAGTGTCTGACACATAGGGGGAACTCTGTTAACACTTGCTAAATGAAAGAGTTCAAAGTTATGGCTTTGGTTTGTTTATTAACCCCATTGTCCGGGGAACATTGGTTAACCTTTCTGAGCCCACCATTCCTTATGTGCAAAATGAGTATGTTAATCATGATGGTACCAGTTCCCACCTCACAGAGTTGCTGTGTGGATTAAATTGTAATAATTCATAATGCATGTAGAGTACTTGGCACAGCGCCTAGAAGACAGTGAGTGCTCACTCAGTGTTAGAAATGGTCACTTGTTAGAGTCAGCGTACTGAATTAAATGTTCTCCATTTTGCCAGGTGCAGTGGCTCACGCCTGTAATCTCCAATACTTTGGGAGGCCGAGGTGGGTGGATCACGAGGTTATGAGATCGAGACCATCCTGGCCAACATGGTGAAACCCCGTCTCTACTAAAAATACAAAAATTAGCTGGGCATGGTGGCACATGCCTGTATTCCCAGCTACTTGGGAGGCTGAGGCAGGAGAATTGCATGAACTCGGGAAGCGGAGCTTGCAGTGAGCCGAGATTGCGCCACTGCATTCCAGCCTGGTGACAGAGTGAGACTCCATCTCAAAAAAAAAAAAAAGTTCTCCAACTTGAGATAATAATATGAAAAGATTCCTTGCTTCCTTAATCACTTAGTCTCATGGACTAAGCCCTCACAGTGCCTATTATAACCACTAAGGGAGTGAGAGGTGTGTGTGTGCATGTGCAGGGGAAGTAGATGCTGGATAGAGTGGGGCCTGAGAGCCTGCGGACAGAGGAGAGAGCCCAGACATCAGGACTGAGGTCTCTGGAGCACCATAGCCAGAGCAGAGGCGGTTGTCTAAACAGCCAGGATTGGGACGAGGATTTACAGTGTCCATATAACAGCATAGGGCAAAGGAATTAATAAAATATTAGCTGAGAACCGGCTGGGCGCGGTGGCTCACGCCTGTAATCCCAGCACTTTGGGAGGCCGAGGCAGGCGGATCACGAGGTCAGGAGATCGAGAGCGTCCTGGCTAACACGGTGAAACCCCGTCTCTACTAAAAATACAAAAAATTAGCGGGCGTGGTGGCGGGCGCCTGTAGTCCCAGCTACTCGGGAGGCTGAGGCAGGAGAATGGCGTGAACCCAGGAGGCGGGAGCTTGCAGTGAGCCGAGATCGTGCCAGCGCACTCCAGCCTGGGTGACAGAGCGAGACTCCGTCTCAAAAAAAAAAAAAGAAAAAAAAAACAAAACATAGCTGAGGACAAAGAGAATAGCTGTTATGAGCAGATGGGGATTGCAGGTGGGGCTTGAGGACAAGGCCTAGACCCTCAGTCCTGTGTCAGGGTCTTTCTTCATCTTAAAGTGACCATGTTTTCCCAATGATTCAAAAGCTAGTGCCTGGCATTTCTCAGCTAAGCCCTTTTTTCTCTGGCTGCTGAGCAGGATGTTTCTCTTCTCTCTTGAATGTTGAGCCAAGCTGAGCTATCTTCCTGAATTCACAGGTCTCCTTAGAAATCAGCTTTTGTCTGAGTCTGTCAGTGTAGCCTGGGCTCAGCCTGGACAGCCTTGCAGCCTGAATTCCCTGGATTTCCCAGCAGTTCTCAGCATCTACTGAACTGACTTTCTTGCCTCTTTGATTCTATCTCATCTGGTCTCCTGGGTTTGTTTTTTTACGAGGTACTCAGTCTGGAAAAAGAACCCCTACTCTCTCTGTGGGCATGGTAAGAGGTATTGCTTATGAAATCATTGGGCATATAATTGTCACTTTAGTCATTCACAATGAAAGATACACAGAAGGCAGCATCCTGACCAAAGAGGCCCAGGAGGTAGAAGGCTTCTCTTCCAACCAGACTCCTGGCTGGAAGCAAGATGTTGTATAGAAGTTAGTTGCCATCCAGAAAGTTAGCAGCATTTATTTGGGACCCGCTGCACGTCTATCCCTGTAATGAGGGAGACAGTATTTCAATGCAGAAAAGATAATGTTCCTCATCAGAATCTCTGATTATTTCATGACGACTGAGTCCTAGAAGTGGCTTTATTTTTCCAAGAAGTAAGAACACTTAAGGCTTTTTGATACATGTTGCCATATTGCCTTCCAAAACGGCTGTACCAATTCACATGCCAACTCGTTGCATTTGATTGTACCCACTTTATCATACCTTTGCCAATACTGGGTATTATTACAAGTTTTGCAATCTATATAATGGGGAGGCAAATGGTATTGCTTTGATTAAATTATCATTTTTAAATTAATGAGGAGGTTGAACATTTAAAAAAAATTGTTTGCTATGAGGATGATACTTGGTGTCCACTCCAGGGTGGGTCTGGAGGAATGTTGACTAGATTTTTTTTTTTTTTTTTTTTTTTTTTGAGATGGAGTCTCGCTCTGTAGCCCAGGCTGGAGTGCAGTGTGCGTTCTTGGCTCACTGCAACCTCTACCTCCCAGGTCTTGGTTCAATCTATTCCCTTGCCTCAACCTCTGGAGTAGCTAGGATTACAGGCATGCACCACCATGCCCAGCTAATTTTTGTATTTTTAGTAGAGACAGAGTTTCACCATGTTGGCCAGGCTGGTCTTGAACTCCTGACCTTGTGATCCACCCACCTCAGCCTCCCAAAGTGCTGGGATTACAGGTGTGAGCCACCGCGCCGGGCCTGACTAGATTTTTTTATGGCTGAGTTTTATATGTTATTTATTTTTAATTTTTTCTTTCTTTCTTTCTTTCTTTGAGATGGAGTTTCGCTCTTTCACCCAGGCTGGAGTGAAGTGGCGTGATCTCAGCTCACTGCAACCTCTGCCCCTTGGGTCCAAACGATTCTCCTGCCTCAGCCTCCCAAGAGGTGGGATTATGGGCCCCTGCCACCACGCCTGGCTAATTTTTGCATTTTTAGTAGAGATGGGGTTTCTCCATGTTGTCCAGGCTGGTCTTAAATTCTTGACCTCAGGTGATCCACCCGCCTTGGCCTCCCAAAGTGCTAGGATTACAGGCATGAGCCACCGCGCCTGTCCTATTTTTAAATTTCAACACAGTAAAATTTACTCTTTTATTGTATAATTTTGTGATTTTGACACATACATAGAGTTGTGTAACTACTTACACAACCAGAATATAAATGGTGATCTCATTCCCTGAAATTCCCTTATGTAACCTCTTTGTAGTCAAACCTTCTGTCAATCCTTAACCCCTGGCAACTACTGATCTATTCTATACCTCTATATTTTTGTGTTCTCTAGAATGTCTTTTTTTTTTTGAGATGGAGTCTCGCTCTGTCACCCAGGCTAGAGTGCAGTGGTGTGATCTCGGCTTACTGCAACCTCTGCCTCTCAGGTTCAAGCAATTCTCCTGCCTCAGCCTCCCAAGTAGCTGGGACTACAGGCATGTGCCACCATATCCAGCTAATTTTTGTATTTTTAGTAGAGACAGGATTTCACCATGTTGGGCAGGCTGGTCTCACACTCCTGATCTTAAGTGATCCACCTGTGTCAGCCTCCCAAAGTGCTGGGATTACAGGCGTGAGCCACCGTGTCTGGCCCAGTGTCTTTAATAGAGCAAAAAATGTTAAGTCTAACTTATTCACAGTGTGCTTTTGTTGTCCTACTAAAAACTCCTTGCCTAATCCAAGATTATTAAAATTTTCTCCTATATTTTCCTCTAAAAGTTTTCTAATTCTACCTTTTACATTTAGATCTGTAATGCATTTTTAAAAATTTTGTATAAGGTGTGAGTTGTAGGTCGAGATTCATGTTTTTGCATATTTATGTCCAATTGTTCCAGCACCATTTGTCAAAAAGTCTATCACTTTTTTATTTAGTTGCCTTTGCACCTTTGTCAAAAATCAATTGACCATTATGTGTATAGGTCTCTTTTTTGCTCTATTAAAGACACTGGGCCGGGCACGGTGGCCTCTCTATCTATCTTATACTCAATATCACATGACCTTTTTTTTTTTTTTTGAGTTGGAGTCTTGCTCTGTTGCCCAGGCTGGAGTGCAGTGGCGTTATCTTGGCTCACTGAAACCTCTGCCTCCCGAGTTCAAGCAATTCTCCTGCCTCAGCCTCCTGAGTAGCTGGGACTACAGGTGCATGCCACTACACCGGCTAATTTTTTGTATTTTTAGTAGAGACGGGGTTTTACCATGTTGGCCAGGCTAGTCTTGAACTCCTGATCTCAAGTGATCCGCCTGCCTCGGCCTCCCAAAGTGCTGGGATTACAGGCATGAGCCACTGTGCCCAGCCACATGGTCCTGATTATAGAAAGTACTTATATTTTTGCTTCTTCCAGAATGACATATAAATGGAATCATATAGTGTATAAATGTTGGCCGGGCTCGATGGATCATGCCTGTAATCCCAGCACTCTGGGAAGCCAAGGCGGGTGGATCACCTGAGGTTAGGAGTTTGAGACCAGCCTGGCCAACATGGTGAAACCCCTCTCTACTAAAAAACAAAAAATTAGCTGGAGGCTGGGTCCAGTGGCTCACGCCTGTAATCCCAGCACTTTGGAAGGCCGAGGTGGGCAGATCAGGGGGTCAGGAGTTTGAGACTAGCTGGCCAACATGGTGAAACCCGGTCTCTACTAAAAATACAATTTTTTTTTTTTGGAGACGGAGTCTCAGTCTGTTGCCAGGTTGGAGTGCAGTGGTGTGATCTCAGCTCACTGCAACCTCCAACTCCCTGGTTCAAGCGATTCTCCTGCCTCAGCCTTCTGAGTAGCTGGGATTACAGGCACGTGCCACCACACCCAGCTAATTTTTGGTGGCAGGCACCTGTAATCCCAGCTACTCAGGAGGCTGAGGCATAAGAATCACTTAAACCTGGGTGGCAGAGGTTGCCGTGAGCCGAGATTGCAGCACTGTACTCCAGCCTGGGCAACAGAGTGAGACTCCATCTGAAAAAAAAAAATTAGCCAGGCGTGGTGGTGGATGCCTGTAATTCCAGCTGCTTGGGAAGCTGAGGCAGGAGAATCTCTTGAACCCAGGAGGCAGAGGTTGCAGTGAGCCGAGATCATGCCATTGCACTCCAGCCTGGGCAACAAGAGTGAAACTCTGTCTCAAAAATAATAATAATAATAATTAATAATAATTGAGTCTTCTAGCTTATTTCACTTAGAATAATGAATGACTTTGTGATTCATTCAAGTTGTGTACTTAGTCTTTCAATTATTCGTATTGCTCAGTAGTGTCTATTTGTTTAACCACTTACTTGCTGTTCTTATTTTTCAAAGTTGGTTTGGCTATTCTAGTTCCTTTGCCTTTTTAAGAATCAGCTCGTAAGTATCTATAACAATTTGCCCCCTTGATGAGGGTACTGTCTGGATTTCCATAAATCTACAGATCAATTTGGGTAGACCTGTTGTGTTAACAACATCCAGTCTTCCAATCTATGAACATGGAGTATCCATTTATTTACCTCTTAAAATTTCTTTCGTTAGTGTTTTGTAGATTAGCTTATGCCTAAGTAGTTCATGTTTTGGAACTGTTAGTGGTACTGGTTTTAAAATTTCAGTTTCAAAGCATTCATTGCTAGTATAAATAAATCCAGCTGATTCTTTGTCTATTGACCTAATTCCGATTTTGCTCTCTTGGAAGCCACCTGCCATGTAAAGATGGCCAGGCTATCCTGGTGGAAAGACCATGTAGAAAAAGGCCCTGGAGGATAAAAGACCATGTGGCAGACAACCGAAGTGTCCCAGATGGTAGCTGACAGAGCAGGAGCACTGTCATCTCTGACAAACACTGCCACTTTAAGTTCCAGCTCCCTTTCTAGCCTTATGCATTTCAAGGAAATCACTTCTCTTCTAACAACAAGCAGCGAAAAAGAGCAGACAGTAAAACACAGATAAGACCAGCTAGGGCACAGAGGGAGGTTAGGGGGAAGTCTCTTGGGTAAGTGCCAAGCTAAGCTTCACCCTCATACAATGGGTCCCAGTAAAACAGTGGGCCTTAATAAGCACATTCCTTTCCCTTCAGGTGCACTAAGATAGGGAAGCTAAAAGCAGACTCAGGGGTATGCCTGCAGGTGCAGGAAGATGTATGGGAACATACACAAAACTCTCCCTCCCAGATAAGCACAACAAAGAGACACAGAAGCAGTCCAAGCCTCTGATAAACTCTCCTGCCCTGAATCCTTAAATACTCAGTCTGTAAGACTGTGTCTCTGACCTAACTTGGCCAGAAGCTCCTCTCAGGTTTGTTTTCTCTAAAATAAACCTGTCCTTAACTGTCAAACCACCTTTCGTGTTTCTTTCGTCTTTCTTTAATTCTTACAGTAGCCAGCACCAACTGCCAGACATGAGAGTGAAGCCATTTTTGATGTTCAAATCCCACTGAGTTCCTAGCTAAATGTAGTCACGTGCGTGAACCCAGCTGGCATTACTGAAGAACTGTCCATCTGAGCCCAGCCAACCCACAAAATTGTGACAAATAACACATCTTGGTTGTTTTATTTTTATTTATTTATTTTTCGGAGACAGAGTCTTTCTCTGTTGCCCAGGTTGGAGTGCAGTGGCACAATCTTAGTTCACTGTAACCTCCGCCTCCTGGGTTCAAGTGATTGTCCTGCCTCAGCCTCTCGAGTAGCTGGGATTACAGGCATGCACCACCATGCCCGGCTAATTTTGGTATTTTTAGTAGAGACGGGGTTTCACCATGTTGGCCAGGCTGGTCTCGAACTCCTGACCTCAAGTGATCCACCCGCCTCAGCTTCTCAAAGTGCTGGGATTACAGGTGTGAGCCACCATGCCTGGCCATCTTTGTTGCTTTAAACCATCAAGTTTTGGGATGGTTTAAAATGGAACAATAGACAACTGATATAGGGCTTAGCAACAGTTCAGTTCTTCAGCCCTGGGCTCCCTGGCCTGGTCATGACTGCTGGGCTTTGATACGCCTTCCTGAGTTGTATTGTTGCCAGTCAGACTAGGGGCTTATGTCCCCAGGGATAGCAGTTGGCTGCCAAGTCACAGCTTTCCCTCTTCCCTACTCACTCCAGAGTGGTGTAGTTCAAATGGCCTGCATCTCTGCTTGAGCCCATGTTTCACTGCAGAGAGGCCTCTGCCATCCTTGCTTGTACTGATCCCTAGCTGTGGACTGCTTCTGCTTGCCCACTTGATTGACAGCTGCCAGTTTTCATAGCTCTCTGGGTCCCCACCACAATGCCTTCTTGGTGCCCTGATTGAAAGTCTCAGGAATGACCATTTGCAGCACCTTTTTCTCACCTTCTGATATGAGCGTCTCCTCTGTTGGGCCTGTTTCACTCTGCGACAAGTGATTAGTATTCCTCAGGCCTGAATCCCCAGTTACAGTTTCATGAATTGGTAGCCATTTAAACCTGACCTAGAACCTGCAGAGTGGTTTGATTTTATTACCCGTTTAGTACAAAGACTTAGAACCCTGGGGCTAGGTTAATTAGTTTTGTTTTTTTGTTTTTTGTTTTTTTTCTTTAAACATGTAAGTCAGAGCAAACACCTCCTGGCCTGTCCTTACTAGCTATACAGTCTGGGAAAAGTTCTTAAGCCCCTATAGACCTCATTTTCTTCACTTGTAAAGTAAAGATAATAATACTTGATAAGATAATACATGTGCATTGCTGATCAACATGCCTGGCACACAGCAACTGTTTCCTGATAGTAATTATAATTAATATTGAAAGTCAGAGATAGAGGGGCCCTTAGGGATTATTTAATCTAAGATTTTTCAGTGGGAGAAAGTGAAGCCCAGGGAGACTGAGTAATTTGCCCAAAGTCACACAGCTCATTAGTAGTTGAACTAGAACCTTAGTTTCTCAAACTCTAATCTCATGTCTTTCCCATTGCATCACAATTGTTTCCCTTAGGAGGTCTTGGAGGGAAAAAAGTGATAAAAAGGAGCTACCAACCACCAAGTATCTACTTTATTGGTGCTTTACATACCTCATGTTATTTTATTCCCATAATAATTCTGGGCGTCATTATCCTCACTTTATTGATGAAGACACTGGACTCAGAGAAGTTAAAATCTTGCCAGCCAGGCACAGTGGCTCATGCCTATAATCCCAGCACTTTGGGAGGCCGAGGCAGGCTGCTCAACTGAGGTCAGGTGTTTGAGACCAGCCTGGCCAACGTGGTGAAACCCCATCTCTACTAAAAATACTAAAATTAGCCGGGTGCAGTGGCACACGCCTGTAGTCCCAGCTACTCGGGAGGCTGAGGCAGCAGAATTGCTTGAACCCAGGAGGCAGAGGTTGCAGTGAGCTGAGATCACGCCATTGCACTCTAGCCTGGGCAACAGAAGCAAAACTCTGTCTCAAAAAAAAAAAAAAAAAAAAGTTAGAAGTTAAAATCTTGCCTGCAGGCCCCACAGGCAGTAGAATGGGGACTCCAACCCGGGCCTGTCTGACTCAAAGCCAGCCCGTGCTCCTCTACCTCTCCTGCCCTTCCTGGGTCAGGCTGGAGAGCCTGAGAACCACAGGGAAGAAGGGTTTCTTCAAGGTCTGGCACCACCCTGGCTGCATTTCTTCTTAGTCCTCAGACGCAATAGCTGGTCTGCGTGCAAGAGCCTTTTATCCTTCCTTCCACACAATCCTTTTAACTGAAACCAAGTGGCCAAAGCTTAACTGTAATTCTACAAAACTGGTGGTGAAAGGCCTGGCTGGGGCTCGGGCCACTCACCCCAAACGTGATGTGCATAGAGAGTGGGGCTGACATTGTTTAGCTCCCTGCCTAGCAGTGCCCAACCAAGCCTCCCAATCTAAATTGAGCCCTTAATCGTTTTCCTGGCATTTGCTCAGACAGGATTTTATTTTCTAGTAATAAAAGCTCCTACGTTGTAGGAAAAGAAACCAATCTGCCTTTTCTCCTGTTAGCTTTTGTGAATGCTTTGCCACCTGTCCTTTTCCCCCTTGTCCTTGTGCTTGGGGCAGAGCCACGTTGTTTTGTGCCCACTGTCAAGTTTTGAGGAGTTCTGAGTGGGCAGAGAAAAGCACTCACATTGACTGTGCCTCTTCGATCATTACTGGCAGCTTCCCATCTCGTGGATGGACAGGTTTCATCCTACAGGCTTGACTTCTGGGTCTGCAGGTGGTATGAGGAAGATAGTCCCAGGGAAGTAGGAGCAAGTGAGTCACCGAGGGCCTCCCGCATAAGCAGCTCTTGATGGCTGGTGTCTAGTTGCCTTGGTCTTCTGCTTAAGAATTTTCAGTGGCTCCCCAGTGCCTGCAGCATGAAGCACACACTTTCTAAAACAGTATTCAGACCACCCACCTCCTCAACCTCTTCTCTTTTTGTTGGTGAAAAAAATAAAAAAAATAAAATGAAATGCAGAATAGAAAGAGTAAAAATGAATCTCCAGAGTCTTCATCGCCAAAATCAATGCTAACATATTGACATATATCTTTCCAGATCTATGCATAAATATATATATATTTAAATTTGTGAGGCCTTTTCAGTTCTAACTTTCCTTTGTAGCTTTATCTTTTACAACTCCCACGGTACACTAAACATTATCTACACGTAATTCACCTGTGTATAGGCAAATGCGTAGAATGTGCCTATTCTGATTAAAGGAAATGTGAGATGTGTGTGTGGGTGGGTGTGTGTGTGGGGGGTGTGTGTGTGTGTATATAATCTATACCATGGAATACTACTCAGTCATAAAAAAGAATGAAATTTTCTTTTATAGCAGCATGGATGGAACTGGATGCCATTATCTTAAGTGAAATAACTCAGAAAGTCAAATACGCATGTTCCCACTTATGAGTGGGAGCTAAATTATGTAAATTATGTATATATATACAGACATGGACATAGAGAGTGAAATAATTAACATTGGAAACTCAGAAATGTGGGAGGGTGGTGAGAGATGAGAAATTACCTAATGGGTGTAATGTACACTATTTGGGTGATGGTTACACTAAAAGTCCAGTCTTCACCATTATGTAATATATTCATGTAACAAAGCTGCACTTGCACCCCCTAAATCTATAAAAATAAGTTTTTTACAAGAATTAGCCTATCCATATAGCATGCACTTTCAGATTTTTAAGAATTCACACCAGCTGTTCGCTCTCTCTGAAATGCCCTTTACACAATGCCTGCACATAGTAAGCTCTAACAAAACTCTAGCTGTTCCTTTTAATTTCTTTTCCTGCCTGGTGAGCTCCAACTTAACTATTTAAAACTCTGCTTAAATAGCTCTACATCTAGGAAATGCCCCTCTCTCCCCAAACCCTCACCTGTCTGCTCACCAGTTGGCTACTCACCACCCGTTTTGGGACCCGTGGATCCACTGCCCTCCCACCCTATCCTGTCCTAAGCCGGCTCTTCCAAGGCAGTCAGGGGTCATGTCTCTTTCACTCAGGCCCATGATTGACACTCAGTACAGGCTGGGAAAATGGACATCAGACTGTCAGAGGCAGCAGTTTGCTGGATGAAGCTAGTCCGAGGCATACTGCAGGGGCCCAGGGCACTGCTGGACAAGTCAGAGTGGCTGTGAGCTGGCATTTGTACAGAGATTCCAAACTGCTAAGGAGACCCCTGTTGTTGGCTGGGCTCCTCCCTGTCTGGCAAGAGCTAACCTTCCACCTCAGAAAGCATTATGGTGCCAGAGAGCTCTCTTGGCAGACCTTGGATGAATTATTTACTCTCTCCTTGTTGAGTGAATGCAGGCACATTTGAGGCTCCTCTAAAGATGCTTGATCCAGAATTCTAGCCTTAATGGTGGTGGGCTGCAGAGAAAGAGAAAATAAACCAATGTCCCCACCCTTGGCCAGACTTCCTGCCATATCTTTAGGGGGGGCATTTTGTTCTCTTTGACTCACCTTTGCCCACAGCTCCCTGCACTGTCCCCCAACTCCAACTCCACTTAAAAGGGACATTTTGGCCAGGAGCGATGGCTCATGCCTATAATCCCAGCACTTTGAGAGGCCAAGGTGGGCGGATCACTTGAGGTCAGGAGTTCTAGGCCAGCCTGGTCAACAGGGTGAAATCCCATCTCTATTAAAAATACAAAATCAGCTGGGTGTGGTGGCGCGTGCCTGTAATCACAGCTACTTAGGAGGCTGATGCAGGAGAATCACTTGAACCCGGGAGGTGGAGGCTGCAGTTAACCGAGATTGCACCACTGCACTCCAACCCCGGGCAGACAGAGCAAGACTCTGTCTCAAAAAATAAAAAATAAAAAAACAAACCGGACATTTCACGTTTTCTTGTTGGGGCACAATTTGTTGCTCCTCTCTCCTCCTTTACACCTCACCATGCAGCTCCTGTGTCATAATCTTACACATTCTTCTGTCTGCATTCCCTCAGCATTGGAAAACTCTGAGATGAGAACCAAGAGCAATGGTTTACTGGACACTGCAGCAGCTTTAAGCAGCATTTGTTGAAAAGCACACACTGGGTACTTTCCAATACCTCGGCTCACTTCTGGGTGGTCTTTGTTAAGAGAAGCGGCTTCTAGCCTTGCTGGGTAACACATCTTCCTTCTCAGGTTCCCTGAACAAATGAAGCAATTGAAGCAACTGGAAATAGCAGCTACTGGCGTGGGAACACACATGGCATCTAACACTCATCCTGACAGAAGAGTCATGTGGCCGAGTTTCTCCAGGCCTCACCCACCTGTGAGTGTCACTGTTGGGGTCATATTAGGGGCAATGGCCTGTCATTGCTGACCCTTGCCCCTGAGACTTTGTCCCCAGGAGCATTTTGCAGCCACTCACAAGTACTCCTGTTACACTTCCTCTCTCCCCCACATTGGCAATGTCTCCAGGTCACCTGACAACTCCAGGGGAAGGTGCAGCAAATGCCTTATATGCTGTATCTGCATGGAGAATGTGTTCCCCTGGTGAGGAAACTCTTCAGGTGATTAAATGGTGACAAATGCTCTGGAATTCTCCCTGTGCTGGGAAGACAGCATGTGCCTTCACCTCCACCTCCCTTTCTGCATTTTAGTTTGTCAGCAGGCCTGAAAGCGGCAGTGGTAACATCGCCCTTTGAAAACAGTGAGGAGCCCCTCTCTCTGCTGAGTTATTATTTTTTTATGTGTTTTTTTGAGACAGAGTCTCACTCTGTCACCCAGGCTGGAGTGCAATGGCGCGATCTTGGCTCACTGCAAACTCCACTTCTCAGGTTCAAGTGATTCTCCTGCCTCAGCCTCCCAAGTAGCTGGGATTACAGGCGAGTGCCACCATGCCCAGCTAATTTTTTTTTTTTTTTGTATTTTTAGTAGAGACGGGGTTTCGCCATGTTGGCCAAGCTAGTATCAAACTCTTGACCTCAGATGATCCACCCCCCTTGGCCTCCCAAAGTGCTGGGATTACGGGCATGAGCCACCACGCCCAGCCTCTTTGCTGAGTTCTGACTTCCGTCCACAGAGCCAGGTTAGGCATAGATATCTGAAGCTTCCCACATGCTGCCCAGCCGTCTTTGCGTCTTTTTCTGGCATGTGAGCCAAACCACTTCCTCATCCTCACACGGAGTGACACCCAGAAGCCCCACAGACCAGGTCATCAAACACACCCAGGCATGGCTGCAGCCCAGTGCAGACTCAAGTTGAGACACCATTAAAATAAATGTTTTTCTAGCTCTTTAAAGTTTACAAAACCCGTGCATATACATGACTTCCACTTAATCCTTGAAACAGCCCTTTGAAGTTTGGGTTGTCTTTATTCTCATTTTATAAGGAGTAAAACTGAAGTTCAGGAAGGTTAGAAAAGGCAGACATGACTATTTAGTAAGTGACAGAGCTAGGGATTTTCAGTCCTGTCATATGGAACCCTAGGTTCCCTGTGTGATAAGATTACAAACCTGAGACTTAGTTAAGGGAGACGTAGATCAAGTAGCAACAGCTGTGCCTTCAGACCTGTAGTTCAAGGCAGCTGGCATCACCCAGAGGCAATTAAACTCTCGGATAGAGTGATAATTAGAATTGGGCTATCCAGGCAAAAATAGCCATGGTCCCTTCTCAAGAAGTTTAGGAGACTTTTCTTTTCTTCTAGATGTTCCTCTTTTTCCCTCTGTGCTCCACAGCACTTGGATGGGACTTCTCACAGAGTTATTTCTGTGAATCTCCCATCGTGCTTGTTCTACTGTAGGACCCTTGAAGCCAGAGACTATGCTATGAACATAGGAGGTACTCAATAAATGTTAGTGGAATGAAGGGCTGTTTCTTAATGTCACTCCATTAGACCTCTAAGTAGGAAATTTAACTGTAGTCATTTCTTTCCCATGAGCACCTCCACCAGAGAGTGGGCATGCACGGTGCACAGTAAAGCAGAATAAGTCAACCCTATTGACTTCCTGCCTCAGTTTCCATGCCTTTATGTTGCCCAGCTGCTTCCCTTTGGGTCCACTGATGCATCTCACTTTCAGCTGCCACCCTCCCACCCCAGCTTCTGAGTCTGAACAAATTCAGGCAGGAAGTAGATTAACCACCTCAGTGCCTCTGGTGGGACTTGGTGCGCAGTCATCCACTGAAACTTGGAGGTTGTTAGTCCAGTAACATCCTCTGACAGTCATGTTTCCCCGAGTGATATCTGTCCTCTCTCTGGCTATTGTTGGCCCAACCCAGAGATCCAGCTTCTACCTGATCCCTAGCTCTCCCGCCCAGAGGCACGGTCCCCTTTTAGGACTGCACACTGCTCCTGAACTCAGCCTGGGAATGGGCCCTGGCATACTATGTGGCACTTGCCAGCCCTTTTCCCTGGGACAGAACCTGGATCTTATCCATTACTACCCATGGACAATGTGTCTACAAATAACCTCCTACCTGCCTGTCTGCTGGCCTGTGTGCCTGACTGGGGAGGGCAGACAAGATGCTTGGATTCCTCTCCATTTGCTCCACCCATTTGATTAGAGAGTTGCTTCAATCACGCCTGGGCTTCCTGTGTCCTTTGGCCATTGTGTCTCACCCATCAGGCTACCAGTCTGATATTTGCTTTTGTAGCTGGGCTTATTCCTCCTGCCCAAGATTCAGCTGTGTAGATGCAGGGTCAGGTTTTGTTTCATCCTCTCTGTCTGATCTGCATGGCTGTGAGATGCCCACAGTGCCTTGTTTATGCCCAAGCTAAAACTTCATTTGATTTCATCTTATGTGCTCTTTAAGAGGTTTGGTGTGGAAGAAAGTTTGAAACTAATAGGCTAAACTAAAGATTAATGGTTGGGATTATTTTTATTGATTTATTCTGTCTCCAATATTAAAACTCTATTATTACCTTTTTTTTTTTTTTTTTTGAGACATTGTCTCGCTGTCACGCAGGCTGGAGTGCACTGGCCTGATTTCGGCTCACTGCAACCTCCACCTCCCAGGCTCAAGCAATTCTCAGCCCCCCAAGTAGCTAGGATTACACCATGCCAAGCTAATTTTTATACTTTTTTTTTTTTTTTGAGACAGAGTTTCGCTCTTGTTGCCTGGGCTCACTGCAAACTCCGTCTCCCAGGTTCAAGGGATTCTCCTGCCTCAGCCTCCTGAGTAGCTGGGATTACAGGCATGTGCCACCACGCCTGGCTAATTTTTGTATTTTTAGTAGAGACAGATGGGGTTTCACCACGTTGGCCAGGCTGGTCTCGAACTCGTGACCTCAGGCGATCCACCCACCTCAGCCTCCCAAAGTGCTGGGATTACAGGCCTGAGCCACTGCACCCGGCTGCATGATTTCTTTAACATCTGTACTTCAAATGTGATCCCTCTGCTTGGAGTCTTCTTCCCTGTACCTCCTATGCCACCATCTAGGTCTTAGTTTGGATATGGCTTACTTCAGAAAGTGGTAAGGCCAGCCTGGCTTTCCAGGCTGAGTTAAGTGTCGTATCTCTGAATTCCCATGTTATTCAGTTGTTCCTCCTCCTCCTCTTCCTCTCCTTCTCTTTCTCCTTCTTTTTCTGCTTCTTCCCCTCCTTCTCCTTCATCTTCTTCTGAGATGGGGGTCTCGCCATGTTGCCAAAGCTGATCTTGAACTCCTGGGCTCAAGTGATTTTCCTGCTGCATCAGCCTCCCAAGTAGCTGGAATTACAGGTGCAAGCCATCATGCTTGGCCAGTTCTCTCTCTCTCTCTTTTTTTTTTTTTTTTGAGACAGAGTCTCGCTCTGTCGCTCAGGCTGGAGTGCAGTGGCGCAATCTCTGCTCACTGCAGCCTCTGCCTCCTGGGTTCAAGCGATTCTCCTGTCTCAGCCTCCCGAGTAGCTGGGACTACAGGCATGTACCACCACGCCTGGCTAATTTTTGTATTTTTGGTAGAGACTGGGTTTCACCATGTTGGCCAGGCTGGTCTCAAACTCCTGACCTCAAGTGACCTGTCCGCCTCGGCCTCCCAAAGTGCTGGGATCACAGGCATGAGCCACTGCTCCCAGCCTCAGTTCTTCTCTTTTACCATATTGAACTGCAAGTGTCTGCCTCCCACACCAGATCATAGGCTCTCTGATGGCAAGAACTATGTCATCTTGTTCATGCTCGTATCTCCAGTATTTGCAAGTGTGCCAAGCACAGGTACTAGTTTCAGTGAATAGATGAATGAATAACTGAGGTTTGGTGTTGTTATGGGTTGAGAACTGTGTCCCCACAAAAAGATATGTTGAAGTCCTAACCCCTGATACCTGTGAATGTGACCTTATTTGGAAATGGGGTATTTGCAGATGTAATGAGGTTAAGGTGAGGCCATACAAGATTAAAGGATGTCCTAAATTAAATGACTTGTGTTCTTGTAACATAAGGGAACTTTAAAAACAGACACATATGGAAGAGGAACAAAAGATCCTCTCATAGTACCTTCAGAGAGAGCACGTCCCTGCTGATTTTGGACTTTTATCTTCCAGAACTGCAAGAGAATAAACTTCTGTGTTTTTCTTTTGTTTTATTTTTGAGACGGAGTCTCGCTCTGTCATCCAGGCTGGAGTGCAGTGGTGCGATCTTGGCTCACTGCAAGCCCCACCTCCCGGGTTCACGTCATTCTCCTGCCTCAGCCTTCTGTGTAGCTGGGACTACAGGTGCCCGCCACCACACCCGACTAATTTTTTGTATTTTTAGTAGAGATGGGGTTTCACTGTGTGAGCCAGGATGGTCTCGATTTCCTGACCTTGTGATCCGCCCGCCTCGGCCTCCCAAAGTGCTGGGATTACAGGTGTGAGCCACCGCGCCCGGCCCACTTCTGCTGTTTTAAGCCACTAAATTTCTGGTACTTTGTTACAGCAGCCCTAAGAAATGAATCCAGGTATATAACATATGTCAGATAGATTGTAGTCCAGGTTCCTTTTGGAGGTGTCATATTTCACTTGGCTAGATCTCCTACAAGTCTTGGAAATTACACCTTGGCAATCACCATTTGTGGACTCTTTTAACATAATTGTTGGAAGATATGTAGTCATAGCTTCCTTAAAAATAACAGTAAATTGCAGTAGTATCTTTTTTTAAAAAAAAAAAAAAGAGTAATACACATTGGCCAAAATGTCTGGTTAGATTGGATTCAAGGTGTGAAGGAAAGAGAAGAGTTAAAGAGTAAATTATATTCCCATTTAGAAAAGTAGGTGAGGGCTGGGTGGCTCATTCCTATAATCCCAGCACTTTGGGAGGCTGGGTGGGTGGATCACTTGAGGTTAGGAATTCTAGACCAGCCTGGCCAACATGGCAAAACCCTGTCTCTACTAAAAATACAAAAATTAGCCGGGCATGGTAGCACACACCTGTAATCCCAGTTGCTAGGGAGGCTGAGGCAGAAGAATTGCTTGAACCCACAGAACGGAGGTTGCAGTGAGCTGAGATCATGCCACTGCACTCCAACCTGGGCGACAGAGCGTGACTCAGTCTCAAAAGAAAAGTAGGTGAAGGGACACAAGGTGAAGTATGGAAAAAATCATGTCACAATTTGACAGTGGAGCAGGGTAAAGACCTCAATCTTCAGAGAAAAAGCCTTACCATTTTACCTCAATTAAAAAGAAGTTTAAAATGCAAAATAAATAAATAAATAGGAACATATATGGAAGTGTTAAAAAGGAAAACATTGAGTTTGACTGATACTATCATAATTAAATACTATTGCTTTGCAAGGAGGTGGAGGGACTGGATAGCTCAATTCTTTCAAAAATCACCTCAGTTCTCTGAGCCACCTCCACTTGGTTTTCTAACAGACATTTCAAATGCAACTTGTGGCTATCCTCTTCTCTCATTCCCTATCCCTCTTTCAAAACTGCTTCACTCAAAGCCATCTACATTTCAGTGATAGCATCTCTCTTTCTTTCTTTTTTTTTTTTTTGAGACAGAGTTTCCCTCTTGTCACTCAGGCTGGACTGTAGTGGCGCCATCTTGGCTCACTGCAACCTCCGCCTCCTGGGTTCAAGTGATTCTCCTGCCTCAGCCTCCTGAGTAGCTGGGATTACAGGCATGTGCCACCGGCTAATTTTGTATTTTTAGTAGAGACAGGGTTTCTCCATGTTGGTCAGGCTGGTCTCAAACTCCCGACCTCAGGTTATCCGCCCACCTCAGCCTCTCAGAGTGCTGGGATTACAGGCATGAGCCACCGTGCCCGGCAATAGCATCTCTCTTTTCCAGTTGTTCAAGCCCCAAACCTTGAGCTCATCCTTAACTTCTTTCTTTCTTTCACACCTCGAATCCAATCTATCAGACATTCTCTGAACTCTGTGTTCAAAATACATTAAGCATTTGACGGTTTTCCACCATCTCCATTGTTACTTCACTGGTCATAGCTATCATTGTCTTTCATTCCCTCCTTCCAATTTATTCTCAATGTAGTCTTCTGCTTCGGCCATGGTTCTTAAAGTCTGCTGTGGCTCCCCAGTTTACTCAGAGTAACAGCCAAAGCCCTTCAATTACCTTTCTGATTTCTCCTATCACTTTCTCCTTTGTTTACTCCATTCTAGCCATGCTGACCTTGCTTTTCCTGGACTATGTCAGACATGTCTCTGCCTTAAGGCCTTTGCACTGGATGCTCCCCCTTCCTCCTCCTCCCAGATTTCTTCCCCCAGAAATCTGATATCAGCTTGACCAACTCCGTATCATCCTCTGAATCTTTTCTTTTTCTTTTTTTTTTTTTTTAAGACAGAGTCTTGCTCTTGTCACCCAGGCTGGAGTGCAATGGCGTGATCTCAGCATTGCAACCTCCACCTCCTGGGTTCAGGTAGTTCTCCTGCCTCAGCCTCCCGAGTAGCTGGGATTACAGACTTGTGCCACCACGCCTGGCTAATTTTTGTATTTTTAGTAGAGATGGGGTTTCACCATGTTGGCCAGGTGGTCTCAAACTCCTGACCTCAGGTGATCCACCCACTTCAGCCTCCCAAAGTGCTGGGATCACAGGTGTGAGCCACTGCTCCTGGCTGAATCTTTTCTTAAATGTTACCTTCTCAATGGTGCTTTCCAGGACCACTGTTTCAAATTCTGCTCCCTGCCCCTCTGTCTCTTCTAATCCTTTTAACCTTATTTTACTTATTTCCTCATAGTATCTATCACCTTCTAGCATACTATCATAATTTATATATTATGTCTATTGTTTACTGGAAAGTTTTTAGCACAGGGTCTTTCTTGCCTAGAGTAGGTTCTTAATACAGGTTAATTCTTGTTTTTGTCAGAGGTTATGACTTAAAAAAATCTTTTGATTTAGATTTGCTTTGCAAAAGGTATAACTTCCATCTTTTAAACATTAACATTATTAGTATGGAGGTAAGAGTCACATAACAGAAAATTAACCACTTTAAAGTGAACAATTCAGCTGGACGTGGTGGCTTACGCCTGTAATCCCAGCACTTTGGGAGGCCAAGGTGGCTGGACCATTTGAGGTCAGGAGTTTGAAACCAGCCTGGCCAGTATGGTGAAACCCCGTCTCTACTAAAAATACAAAAATTAGCTGGGCGTGGTAGTGGCCACCTGTAGTCCCAGCTACTTGGGAGGCTGAGACAAGAGAATTGCCTGAACCCGGGAGGCGGAGATTGCAGTGAGCTGAGATCACGCCATTGCACTCCAGCCTGGGCAAAAGAGTGAAACTCTGTCTCAAAAAAAAAATAATAAATAAAATAAAATAAAATAAAAGTTCCTCTATGTTTATAGGCCTTAAAAAACAAACCAACTTTCTGTGAAGGTGAATGATTTTGTTAATTGTTTCAAGATGTTGAGTGTTTTAAACTATGTTGTAAAAGCCCTACATGATGACAAAACAAAACTCATTAGTTAGTTTTTCCCTGTTGGGCTTTTACTTAAAAATATAAAATGTAGACATTCACAGGCAATTTTACAACTGCAAATTTAAACCAAGTATAATCAGAAAAGGGGAAAAATGACATAATATTGATATATCTGCTTTGTTGAGCTAGATCTGAGAGTAATATATCTCACTCGCTTCATTCTCTCCTTGATCCTTCAGTGTGCTATAAGTTTAATTCAAGAAAATTTCTGGAAGGATACAAAAGAAGCTGTTAACAGGTTTTTTTCTTCTGAAGCAGGGTTCTAGGAGGAAGACTTATTCTATAATTAGATAATATACCTCTTTATACTGTTTGAATTTTTACCCTAGGCTTGTATTACAGTTAAAAAAATATAATAATAACAATGTCAACAACAAAAGTCCTAAATTTGTGTTAAATTATCCCTCTGTGTTCCCCACGGTTCTGGGCATGTATTAGTCAGGACTCTTTTTTTCTTTTCTTTTCTTTTTTCTTTTTCTTTTTTTTTTTTTTTTTTTTTGAGACAGGGTCTTGCTTGTTGCCCAGGCTGGAGTGCAATGGCATGATCTTGGCTCACTGCAACCTCCACCTCCCAGGTTCAAGCAATTCTCATGCCTCAGCCTCCTGAGTAGCTGGGATTACAGGCATGTGCCACCATGCCCAGCTAATTTTTGTATTTTTAGTGGAGATAGGGTTTCACCATGTTGGCTAAGCTGGTCTCAAACTCCTGACTTCAGGTGATCCACCTGCCTCAGCCTCCCAAAGTGCTAGGATTACAGGCACGAGCCACCACGCCTGGCCTGTCAGGACTCTTTAAAGTGATGGAAACCCAATTTAAACTAGACTCTGCAGAAAAGGGGGTGGTTGTTACTAGAGCACAGAGCAGGAATGGAGTAGTTTACAGAACTAAAGGAAGAACCATGATCTCAGGGGCTAGCACTGAGGCCTCCCTATGACAAACTTGTTTTTTCTCCTGTTCTCATGATCATCATTACTTGTGTTTGCTCTTCAGTTCATGTTGGTGTCATTCTCTCTTGCTTCTCCATATGGACGTGGCTTTTGGTAGTCCTAGCTTAGGAACCCCAGAGAAGAGAAAAAACATCTTTCTTCCCAAGTCTCTATTTTAATCCTGATGAAGGTTCTCATTGATTTTGCTTGTGTTGCATGCTTCCCCTTGAACTATCGCTATTGCCAAGGGAATTGGCCAGACCTGCATCATTTACCCAGTGTGTGGCCAGCATAATGGAATCTCTTAACAGGAGGAACAAGTGAAAGCTTCCTGGGAGGAAAAGTAAGTAACCACAGTCTGCTACAGTCTACCCCTTGACTGCTTAGTCTAATACAAACTCTCCTCCCATAATAGTATTCCAAGACAGTTCCTGGAAATCACACAGCCCTCATACAGATACCTAAAATATATTCACCCCCTTTCCCACAGCAAAACAATTTGATGTATTTAACAGCAGGTTAAGCTCCAAGTCCAAAGTTCTGGGGGATCTTTCTTCTTCTTGGGCTGCTTTGAATATGACTTCTCTCGGTTCAGCGACCCATGTTTAATTGAGGAATGTAATACAATAAAAAACTTTAATTTAGAAAAGAGGAAAAAAAGGGCCGGGCGCAGTGGCTCACGCCTGTATTTTTTTTTTTTTTACCTTGTCCCCAAAGAGCCTGTTTTTGGCCGGGTGTGGTGACTCACACCTGTAATCCCAACACTTTGGGAGGCCGAGACAGGTGGATCACCTGAGATCAGGAGTTCAAGACCAGCCTGGCCAACATAGTGAAACCTTGTCACTTCTAAAAATACAAAAATTAGCCAGGCATAGTAGCGCATGCCTATACTAGGAGGGACGAGGCAGGAAGATCACTTGAACCTGGGAGGCAGAGGTTGCAGTGAGCCGAGATCGTGCCACTGCACTCCAGCCTGGGCAGAAGAGCAAGACTCCATCTCAAAAAAAAAATACAAAAAAAAACCAGACTGTCTTTTTTTGAACTATTTGGAACTAGAAGAAATCATTCATCTTACTTTAAAGCAGTGGCTACCTTCCTTAAAATAGAATCTGTATGTCCATGCTGTGGTTTGAATGTGTCCCCTCCATAATTCAGGTATTGAAACTTAATGGCCAATGTGATGGTATTAAGAGGTGAGACCTTTAAGAGGTAATTAAATCATGAGCGGTCCTCCTCTCATGAATGAGATTAAAACTGTTATATAAGAAGCTTCAAATAGCATTGGACTCACTTGTCCTTCTACCTTCTGTTATGTAAGGACACAGTGTTTCTCCCCCTGGAGGATGCAGCAACAAGGTGTCATCTTGAAAGCAGAGAGCAGCCCTCATAAAAAAACTGAACCTGCCAGTGCCATGATCTTGAACTTTCCAGCCTCTAGAACTGGGAGAAAGTAAATTTTTGTTCTTTATAAATTACCAGTCTCAGGCAGGGCACAGTGGCTCACACCTGTAATCCCAGCACTTTGGGAGGCTGAGATGGGTGGATCACAAGGTCAGGAGTTCGAGACCAGCTTACATGGTGAAACCCCGTGTCTACTAAAAATACAAAAAATTAGCCAGGCATCATGGCACGTGCCTGTAGTCCCAGCTACTTGGGAGGCTGAGGCAGGAGAATTGCTTGAACTTGGCAGGCAGAGGTTGCAGTGAGCTGAGATTGCACCACTGCACTCTAGCCTGGGTGACAGAGTGAGACTCCATCTCAAAAAATAATAAAAATAATAATAAATAAATAAAATAAATTACCAGTTTCATGGCCGGGCACAGTGGCTCATGCCTGTAATCCCAGCACTTTGGGAGGCCGAGACGGGGTGGATCATCTGAGGTCAGGAGTTCGAGACCAGCCTGGCCAAAATGGTGAAGCCCTGTCTCTACTAAAAATAAAAAAATTAGCTGGGTATGGTGGTACATGCCTGTAATCACAGTTACTTGGGAGGCTGAGACAGGAGAATCGCTTGAACCTGGGAGGTGGAGGTTGCAGTGAGCCAAGATTGTGCCACTGCACTTCAGCCTGGACAACAGAGCGAGACTCCGTCTCAAAAAAAAAAAAAATTATCAATTTCAGGTGTTTTGTTATAACAACACAAACTGTACTAAGACAATCTACACCTATTTCTTAATGTCTATCTCTGTCTCTATTTACCTACCTATCTATCTGTCCTCTGTCTAACCTCCCTTTCCTTCCAGGAAGTGAAGATTTAGGCAATAGTGTTTTGAAGACTATTGTTTCAAAAATGCTTCCATGCTCTTGAGAAAGGGCTACTATTTGTTGCTCATTGCTTACTTTTTTTTACCCTGCTTTGGTTTTTCATTGGCCATCAAAGTTCTTACTGATGATCCTGAGTCAACTCATTAAGGACTCTGATGGGGAATTGGGAGGGAAGGAAGAAGGAATAAACCTTCAAGTGTGAAAGGATGAAAGGGATATAGTGAGAAAGTAAGAGGGACCATTGATCCACAGTCAGAAAAGTGGCTCAGGATTGGGGTCACCACCTGAAAAATCTGGACAAGTGAATTGAGAAGATGTCCATAATAAGCCTTGTCTTTGTGCCCCCGGAGTCATATTGGATTAGAAACTTTGCCAGCTGACTGCAGTTTTCACAAGATTGAACGCCTTATATTACTTATCCCCTGGCTTCTGAAGATCAGGTATTCACCCTTCAGGAAACCTTGCTCATTTTACATCAGGTCTCCTTAATAGTTTTCCTTCCTGTAGAAGCAATGCTCACCTTGAAGCATATATCTATTTCTGCCACTGGCCAATTACCTCTTACGGTATTTCTACCAAAATACCTTTCCTCTTTGTTAGACTAAAGATGACTCCTAGACCCTCAGAGAAATGATGGGAAAGAGTTTTCACACCTGTACTTAGATGGCTTAACTAAGACTACCAGATCCCCCAAGCTGGGATAGCAATAAATGGATTCTACCAGTCCCCCAGAGTGTTCTTTTCCCCCTAATCTATTTCAAGCCAGGCAATCTGGAAATGAGTTTTATCTTTCCTCTATCTCAAGATACTCTTCTTAAAGTTACATGGAGATGGAGACTGAAGATTAAAGTTTAATCAGCTGATTCTCAAACTCTATATCTCAGATCTCACACCTCCAACTTTTTTATCTGGGGTGGAAGGTGGTGATGGGAAGGGAAGAGAGTATCACAGTTCTACAACAATCATTCCTAGTTTCCTCTTAGTGCTCGTTTGCAATGCCTCTTCCTGGGACCAAATTATTCTCAGGAACTGTTTGGTTGCAAGGAAGAGAAACTCACTAAAATTAACCCAAGTAAAATGGTACATTTATTATATGGCTATAACAACTAATGTCCAGGACAGTGAGGCCATGTTATAGACATTTATGAAGAAGAAATAAGGTATACATAGTTGGGCCTCAGAAGGTCTATAAAAGGTAGATAGAAAGTAAGGAAATAAGGCTGTTCTTTTCCTAAGACCCTTTCATCTTTCATCTCTGCTTCTTTTAATTCTGGCTTTCTCCCTGCAGAGAATAAATTTCTCCTTATTCATGGTGTCTTTGACCCTGTAGTTTCAGCTTGGTTCACTGTCTCACAGTGGGGGAAAGTGTGTTATCCAATAGGAAACTGGAGTGCTATTAGGATAGGAGAACAAACTCTAGGACGCCAAAATATGAAAAGTTACTATAATAATGAACAATCTATCCAAGCTAATTCAAGTTGGATAAATAGTTTGCCATATCTGAAGTGGAAGTCACGAAGACACCAATCCATAGTGACTCACTCTGTCCCTGGAACTTGAAGGCACCCAGTAATTGTTTGCTTAGTGGATGAATAAATTAGTGAATGACTGGAGTTGAATGCAATTCATGTCTGATTTATTTTGATTCATCTTGGTAACACTCATAGCACCTGATATACTCGTGTGTGTGTGTGTGTGTGTGTGTGTGTGTATGTTGGTATATGGTAAGTACTCAATAAGCAACTGGATACTTGCTGAGCACCAACCTAATATAATACCTTACTGTATTAGCAGAATAACTCTCACCTCCTTTAAGTATTGTGCTTTTTGAAATGGCAAAATTGGCCAGGCACGGTGTCTCACACCTGTAATCCCAACACTTTGGGAGGCCAAGGCAGGTGGATCACCTGAGGTCAGTAGTTCGAGACCAGTCTGGCTAACATGGCAAAACCCTGTTTCTACTAAAAGTACAAAAGTTAGCCGGGCATGGTGGCATTCGCCTGTAGTCCCAGCTAGTTGGGAGGCTGAGGCAGGAGAATTGCTTGAACCTGGGAGGCAGTGGTTGCAGTGAGCCAAGATCGCACCATTGCACTCCAGCCTGGGTGACACAGTGAGACTCTGTCTCAATAAAATAAAATAAAATAAAATGGCAAAATCATTGTATAGTATCGTGGTCTCCAGTGTAGAATGTGTATGGCAACGCACCATATAAAAAATTATTATGACCTCTAAAAGAAAAATTGTGTTGCCAATATCTAATATACAGGTTGATATTTGTGTCTTCACATAGGTCAAATGTCAAGAATAGTTCATGAGTTCTCTAAGGGAAGAGTGGGGCTTCCACAACATGGAGGACTTGACTGAGTTGTCTTCTTCTGGGTGTTGGCTCTCAGCATCCTGTGATATATTGCAGTTTACTTGGGCCAGTGTGGATTCTAAGAAAAATGCATTATCTAGTTTGAACTAAAGTAACTTTCACAAAATGAACAAAAAGCTTAAAAAGATACCTGTAATGACATTGTAAATTTAAGACAATACCTATAATGGAAGCATAAGGAAACAATGAGAAAATGGCAAAACAAACATTTCTGCTCTGTTATGAGCTCTTTGTCTGCCACATTAAGAGATAAAACAATGATATCTAGTGAGATCTGACAAGAGGTGTCGAAAAAATTAGACATTATCATGGAGCCCTGTTTGAATTGTGGATTTAAGTCTAACATCACTGACAATGAACATTGCCCCAAAGTGTATCTTGTGCTTGAGTTTTATCCATAAAATTGTCATGGTTATCATAACATTTAGAAATGAAGCATCTAGAGTATGCAGTCCAATCTTACAGCTTTTTTACAGGGATGTTTTAATCAGGCACTGCTCAATTTCACTTAATTTCACTAACTTTATAGATTTTAGCTTAACAGCAGAGGTTAAAAAGCTACATACTATTAGAGAAATATGTGTTCTTCTGCCCTGGTAAAACTTGGCAGAAATAATAAGAAAAATGTGTTCCTTTGTCAGCAAATATCATTGGAAAATGCATAGAAAAGATTGCTGAAGATCTGAGGAAACAAGCATTAGGGTAGATTTGACATCGTGGAAGGTTTCTGATATAATTGGATGAAAGTACAGATATTTCTAACTTGACTCAATTTATGATACTTGCTGGATTCTGGTTCAATATTGAAATACATAGAAAACAATTCTCTCTATCGCCATTAAGAAAAATGTATCTTGGAGGGGCTATATTAAGATATAATTATACCTTCAATTATAATTATAATTACTTCTTAAATACAAGAGGGATAAGGCTAGAGGAATAGAGCATAAGTGAAATTTAATGACCGCATCATTCATATGCAGTTACTGTAGCAAAGAAGTTAGAGCCATAATAACTAAAATTCCAGGAATTTTAGGTGTGATAAATTTTGTGAAAACAGAAACTTTAATCTTAAAAACTTCATAATGATGTATAGCAGAAGTTGGCAACCTTTTTTGGTAAAGAAGATAGTCAGTATTTTAGGTTTTCCAGGCCATATGGTCCCTATTATAGTGATTCAGTTCTGCCACTGTAGGGTGAAAGCAGCCATAGACAGTATGTAAATTAATGAGTGTGATTGTATTTCAATAAAACTTTATAAAAACAAGAGTGGAATGGATTTGATGTAAGGGCCATAGCTGGACCCCTGCTTTATAATGAGATGGGGTAGCCATAAACACAGAGGTTCATCGTTTATCTTCTGTCAAAACACTTTAAAAGGTTGTTGAAGTTAAAGACAAATCTGCCATTTATTGATTTTCTTTTTTTGAGACAGAGTCTTGCTCCATTGCCCAGACTGGAGTGCAGTGGTACAATCACAGCTCAGTGCAGCCTAGACCTCCTGGGCTCAAGCAATCCTCCTACCTAAGCCTCCAGAGAAACTGGGACTACAGGTATACACCACCACACCTGACTAATTAAAAAAAAATTTTTTGTTGGCGAGGTGCGGTGTCTCACGCCTGTAATCCCAGCACTTTGGGGGACCAAGGCGAGTGGATCACGAGGTCAGGAGTTCAAGACCAGTCTGGCCAAGATGGTGAAACTCTGTCTCTACTAAAACTACAAAAATTAGCCAGACACAGTAGCAGGTGCCTGTAATCCCATCTACTCGGGAGGCTGAGGCAGGAGAATTGTTTGAACCCGGGTGGCAGAGGTTGCAGTGAACTGTGATTGTGCCACTGCACTCCAGCCCGGACAACAGAGTGAGACTCCGTCTCAAAAAAACAAAAACAAAAACAAACAAACAAAAAAAATTATCTAGAGATGGGGATGAGGTAAGGGGTGTGGGTGTCTTGCTATGTTGCCCAGGCTAGTGTGAAACTCCTGGGCTCACTTGATTTGCCCGCCTCAGCCTCCTAAAGTGTTGGGATTATAGGTGTGAACCATTGCACCCAGCCAATTTATTGGTATTTTATGTGTCAAGTGGGTGTCAATAGTATGCTACCTAGCAGACAAATTAAAGGAAAAATAAGAACAGATTAAATAGCTTGTTTCTTCAAGGTAAAAGTGACATCTAATAATGAGAAACAAACTACTTTTTAAAAGATACGCAGAGGACATTTTCGAAAATGACTCTGAGGAAATGTCTCTATTGGAATATTGTTGTGGAAAGTACATATGTTTGTCATCTGCATGCTGAATGCACTTGGAAAAAGAATTTTCTAATATGTTTAATAATCTCCTAAAGAATTGTAGTGGGTTTTGAATCTAATTGTTAAAAAATATAAACATGCAACCCCTTCTAATTTGCTTGCTGGGTAATTTTTTGGCATCAAGAATGATGGAAATCAGGCCGGGCACAGCGGCTCATGCCTGTAATCCCAACACTTTGGGAGGCCGAGGTGGGCGGATCACCTGAGGTCAGGAATTCAAGAGCAGCCTGGCCAACATGGTGAAACCCCTTCTCTACAAAAATATAAAAATTAGCCAGGCATGATATCAGGTGCCTGTAATCCCAGCTACTCAGGAGGCTGAGGTGGGAGAATTGTTTGAACCCAGGAGGCGGAGGTTGCAGTGAGCTGAGATGGTACCATCGCACTCCAGCCTGGGAGACAGAGTGAGACCTCATCTCAAAAAAAAGGCTGGACGTGGTGGCTCATGCCTATAATCCCAGCACTTTGGGAGGCTGAGGTGGGCGGATCACTAGGTCAGGAGATCGAGACCATCCTGGCCAACATGGTGAAACCCCATCTCTACTAAAAACACAAAAATTAGCCAGGCATGGTGGCGTGTGCCTGTAATCCCAGCTACTTGGGAGGCTGAGGCAGGAGAATCACTTGAACCAGGGAGTTGGAGGTTGCAGTGAGCCAAGATTGTGCCACTGCACTCCAGCCTGGCAACAGAGCAAGACTTCGTCTCAAAAAAAAAAAAAGAGTAATGAAAATCTATGGGCCAAATTTCAACAAAAACCTCTGCATGAATGATGGATAGGATTTAAAAGATGGCAATTATGATTTAGTAAGTGCAGCTAAGCAAGAGAGTTCTTCCATTTGGTTCTATTTGGAACCTCCATGTGAGGTTCTTTTTCCATCTATGTCATCCATTAGAATTAAGTGTTGATCATAAACTGAACTTAGATGCAGGCCTTCAAATTGCTGTGACACAAAACATTAAACTAAGATTTTTATTTATTTTTATATTTACTTTTTAAAATTTTATATATATATATATATATTTTATTATTATTATTTTTTAGTTGGAGTTTCACTCTTGTTGCCCAGGCTGAAGTGCAATGGCACGATCTCAGCTCACCACAACCTCTGCCTCCTGGGTTCAAGGGATTCTCCTGCCTCAGCCTCCCAAGTAGCTGGGATTACAGGCATGCACCACCATGCCCCGCTAATTTTGTATTTTTGGTAGAGACAGGGTTTCTCTATGTTGGTCGGGCTGGTCTCGAACTCCCAGCCTCAGGTGGTCTGCCCGCCTCGGCCTCCCAAAGTGTTGGGATTACAGGCGTGAGCCACCGTGCCCAGTCTATTTTTTAAAATGTTTTGAGACTGAGTTTCCCTCTATCGCCCAGGCTGGAGTGCAGTGGCGTGATCTTGGCTCACTGCAACCTCCGCCTCCTTAAACCAACATTATAAAAATAATGAAACACATTGAACACATCGCTTACAGATATTTTTTGTTCTAGAAATTAATAAAATAAATATTATTTAAAGATTTTATTTCATACATTGTGTGGCTTTTAACTATCTCTCTTGTAATAAGTTTTAACATGTAAAGTAGTACTTGTATATTATATAAATATATGAATATGCATATTTTGGTATTTTGGAGTCTGTATGCTAAACCTTTAAAAAATTATGGTGATGGGCCAGGCGCGGTGGCTCACGCCTGTAATCCCAGCACTTTGGGAGGCCGAGGCAGGCAGATCACAAGGTCAGTAGATCGAGACCATCTGGCCAACATGGTGAAACCCCGTCTCTACGAAAAATAGAAAAATTAGCCGGGCATGGTAGTGGGCGCCTCTAGTCCCAGCCACTTGGGAGGCTGAGGCAGGAGAATCACTTGAACCCGGGAGGCAGAGGTTACGGTGAGCTGAGATCATGCCACCGCATTCCAGCCTGGTAACAGAGCAAGACTACGTGTCAAAAAAAAAAAATTATAGTGATATATTATCCAAAAAGTTTGGAGACTGTCATTTGGGGTAGGGAGGTAGTATGCATAGCAGAACATTGATGGACTTTGGAGCTACACAGACCAGCTGTGAGTAATAATAGTAATTACCACTTAATGTTGCTCCTATGGCTAGGCACCATGTAGGTGTGTTGCAGAAATTATCTCATTTTATCCTGTCCAAAACCATATGTGAGAGGAAAACATGGCTGCATTTCCTTTTTTCTCTGCACTGGACACATTTCCCAAGATGCTTTGGGGCAGACTAGGTCTTCTGCTCCTATGAGCCCCGTGGCCCTCAAATTCTCTTTAACTCTAAGACTGCTGCTCTAAAATTAGGCTCAAGTCTGCCAGGCTCTGGAAAGCATTTAAGGGGATTTCTATGTCGTTCATTGAACAAAAGGGAAAAACCCATAACATCACTTCTTAACATATTATTATATAGTGAACTTTCAACTTTAGATTCAATGGGGGTATTGGCAAGTAAGGATGGAATGGCAGGTTCAGAAAAATCCAAAACCACAGTTAAAACAATATTATAGTCAATGCTCCATTATTTGGAGAAGATGAACTATAATTATATTGTTGGCTAGACCTGGGAGGGGTTCATTTTTTCACTGAGGCTGGGCTTTGGAAGAGGGTCAGACTAAGTCCATACATTCAGGGAGACTCAGAAGGCAACTGGTCCCTGCTCATCCTGCCCCTTGTTGGAGTAGAGGCTGGTAATCTGAACTCATTAATTTCTGCCTAATCACTAACCCTGCAGGTTGGGGAGGCCTGCCCCTCTCAGATCCATGCTGCACTTGACCGCCATTGCTACACCCTAAATAACAGAGTGTGGACTGACCATTACATTTAAAAATAAGAAAACTGAGGTTTAGAGAGATTAAGTAATTTGCATACTGACAGAAAGCCAGTGTCAGAGTTGGAGTTAGAGGCCAGGTCTGGCTGATTCCAAAGCCTCTGTGTCTTCCACTACCTCAACTTGTGCAGTTTGGTCCTTGGCTACTGTGACAGAGATATTTTTGGATAGAGGCTCTTCTTTCTTGAATCTCAAAGTATTATATTGGCATATGCCAATTCTGCTTATGCCAGATGAAAGCCTTGTGATTCTCCTTTTCTGTGACTTTGCTAAGAGTCATAAGGGACTTTGAAATCATCCATTCCAATGCTCTCATTTTGCAATGAATAAATTAATACCCAGAAAGATAGAGTAACTTCCCCTAGCTCCCCACAGTAATTAGTGATGGCTGTAAACCTGCTTGATCTGAATTTTTTTTTTTTTTTAGGTAGATTCTTGCTCTGTCACCCAGGCTGGAGTGCAATGGTGCAATCTTGGCTCACTTCAACCTCTGCCTTCTGGGTTCAAGCAATTCTCCTGCCTCAGCCTCCTGAGTAACTGGGATTACAGGTGTGTGCCACCACACCTGGCTAATTTTTGTATTTTTTAGTAAAGATGGGGTTTCACCATGTTGGTCAGGCTGGTCTTGAACTCCTGACCCCAAGTGATCCTCCTGCCTCGGCCTCCCAAAGTACTAGGATTACAGGCGTGAGCAATCCCACCCGGCTTCGATCTGAACTTTTGAACTCTTCACATATTGGGAAAATGATCCCAGAATATAGATGTGTGTGATTCAGCTTCAGTTTTCAAACATCCATAATTGAGCACCAGAGTTATAATTTTCTTTAAAAAAAAACAGACCAAGCATGGTTTCCCACCAAACTTGGTTGAAACTTTAAACCTGTCTGGGGCAGTGGTTATAGTGTACTAATCCTGGGTTTGTTTCTTGTTCTTATTTGCCTTGATTTGAAAAGATGAGCCATATGATTCCCAAGTGTTTGGATGCTTTTCTGATGCTTTCAATAATACAGCATGTAGAGAGTAGGACTTTTTATGGTCAAGAGATGGTACATAACCATCACAAAATCCTATCCTATTTCTTTGGAGGTTCTAGCAGGGGAGCGCAGCTATTCGTATACCCTTGACTGAAGACTGGTCCTCCTCTACTGGGGATGGTTGTCCTCTTCGACCAAGTGTGCGGCTTCAGCAGGGACACACATGGAGCAGTGAGGGTGGAAGGGGACACCCGCCTAGCCAGCCAGATCAACCAAATCATCCCTGGTGATCAATGGGTGGCAGATGTCGCAGTCAGATTGCCCTCACATCCATCCTATCTTATTTCTAAGACTGAATTTCTAAAAAACTCTGATTAGGTTGTGTGTGTGTGTGTGTGTGTGTGTGTGTGTGTGTTTGGCTTACACCTGAGCCTGTAGAGTTATGCCAGGCCTCTAATTTTGTCTTCCTGTTATAAATAATGAATGAATTTACTAAGTGACAACTAAAAGCAGAATTTTTTTTTATTGCTTTCACTCCTTTATTCAAACATTAAAAATACATTGAGTACCAGGCCGGGCAGTTACTCATGCCTGTAATCCCAGCACTTTGGGAGGCTGAGGCAGGTGGATCACCTGAGGTCGGGAGTTCGAAACCAGCCTGACCAACATGGAGAAACCCCATCTCTACTAAAAATACAAAATTAGCCAGGCATGGTGGCACCTGCCTGTAATCCCAGCTGCTTAGAAGACTGAGGCAGGGGAATCGCTTGAACCCAGGAGGTGGAGGTTGTGGTGGTGAGCCGAGATCGTGCCATCGCACTCCAGCCTGGGCAACAAGAGTGAAACTCCATCTCAAAAAAAAAAAAAAAAAAAATCGAGTACCTACAGTATGCTAGACTCTGTGCTTATCCTTGTCCTTGAGAGTTTCATGGTCTAGAAGAGGAGATAAAATTATAAAGACATATAAGATTTGAAAAGACACATGATGACTATTGTCATAGAAGTGTGTGGGCACTGAGAAGCTTATATTTGTCCAGAGGAGTGGGGAAGACACTGGAGGAAGCGATATTTGATCTGAGTATTAAAGGATGAGTAGGAATTCATCAGTAGGGAAGGGGAAAGTTTATATCAGAGGAAAAGACTAATGCAAACAAAGGTAGAGAGGAGTGGATCCCCACTGAGTTGTAAATTCTTGGTGGTTGGTAACTTAAATGTGAATGACTAGTATTTCAACACTTAGGGCCCATAAAGACTGATTTCAAGCTTTTAAAATCCATTTTTAAAAATTAATTTTTAAAGCTAAGTTGTAATTATTGTTTGGCTTTGCTGGCTATTATTTATTTGGCATCTATTCTGTGCTCTTAACTGTGTTAGGTGCTTTAAATATCTAATTCCTATGGCAATTCTATACTGTCGCTACCAAAGAGGAAACTGAGTATCAGGAAGCTTAAATGCTTTGCCACGGTCTTGACGTGTAAGAGGCCAAGCAAGATTTTTGCTCTTCAAACATACTTGTACTCACCAAAGTCATTTATTTTTAACTGAAGTAATAGTCTCTACTATGAAGTGTAAAACAGATCTTTAAGAATGAATGCTTTTGTTTTTGTTTTTTTCCGAGATGGAGTCTTGCTCTGTCTCCCAGGCTGGAGTGTGGTGGCATGATCTCAGCTCACTGCAACCTCCACCTCCTAGGTTCAAGCAATTCTTCTGCCTCAGCCTCCCGAGTGGCTGGGATTACAGGCATGCACCACCATGCCCGGCTAATTTTTGTATTCTTAGTAGAGATGGGTTTCACCATGTTGGCCAGGCTGGTCTCGATCTCGTGACCTTGTGATCTGCCCGCCTTGGCCTCCCGAAGTGCTGGGATTACAGGCATGAGCCACCGCGCCCAGCCCAAGAATTATTTATTAAAAGAACTTAAAAGTATTATAGAAGACTATTTAAAAGCAGCTCATCTAGCTTTGAGGTATAGATCAAGAAAGTCATCCAGAGAGGTTAGGTGACATGCTCATGGCCCAGCCAGTTAAGATAGCTTGCTGATACTTGATCCTCTGCTTCCTTCAATACTGCTCTGGCTCTTTGACACTGGATCCCAATTATGCACCTGGGAGATGTAACAGTGAATAAGAAATACTGCTTACAGGAAAGCTCAATAACTTGCCTAAGGTCACAAAGCTCAGGAGGAGTGGAGCTGGCACGGAAGCCAGGCAGTCTGGCTTCAGAGTCCATGGTCTTAACTATGCTCTTACAGAGGTGTAGAGATGGGAGGATAGGATGGGCAGCCTCTCTTTAATCCTGCCATTATTTGCTCAGGGACCTACTAAAGACATTACTTAGGCCAGGCGCAGTGGCTCATGCCTGTTATCCCAGCACTTTGGGAGGCTGAGGCAGGTGGATCACCTGAGGTCGGGAGTTTGAGACCAGCCTGGGCAACATGGTGAAACCCTGTCTCTACTAAAAATACAAAAAAAAAAAAAAAAAAAAATTAGCCGGGTGTGGTGGCACTTGCCTGTAATCCCAGCTACTTAGGAAGCTGAGGCAGGAGAATCACTTGAACCCGGGAGGCAGAGGTCGCAGTGAGCCAAGATCATGCCACTGCACTCCAGTCTGGGTGACAGAAAAAGACTCCATCTCAAAAAAAAAAAAGACGTTACTTAAACATATTTAGTACTTTAATGTTCCCAATCTGTAGTCACATTTGCCTAACATGTCACCATTTACAAAGTACATTAATAAGCTTGACTTTGATGGCACTTCACAACAACTGTGGGAGTTATAGCCAGGGCGGGTTTTGTTATGCTTATTTACAGATGAGGAACCAGGCTCAGAGAGACTAAAGGAGTTGTTCAGCCTTACGTATCGCTATGCAGAGATGGGATTAGAATCCATTACAAAGTTAGTAGTCACTGTCTTCAAGATACTTTATGTAATATAAACAGAGGCACAATCATGACTGAAAATGAAAGGCAAAATGTGATGTGTTCTCTAGGACATACTGGGTAGGATGATTGGAGGTTTAGAAGATAAGAAAATTGTATCCCATTGGCTTTCTGTCAGAGGGGGCATATGAGCTAGCTAATAAATATGGAAAATATATAGACAGGTGGTAATAGTGAGGAGGGCATTCCATGGGAAGCATGAATAGACCTGGAGTGTGAGCTTCTGTTTCAACCTCAGCTCCTGGCAGCTGGTTCATTCATCACTGTATTTGAAGGCTCAGCCTGTCCAGGCCAGTCTAAACAAGAGGCAGGTAGCTTGGCTCTCCCCTTTCGGATCTGAAAGTTTCCAAAATGTTCCTGGGCTCCCACAAAACTTCTCAAGCCATGGTCCTTTTGCTTTGGTTTTTGCTGCCCTGGTTATTGACTACCCCATATTTAGAGCCTGCCTGATTTGCTGTCTAATATCTGTGGCTTTGCTGTTCCATGAACACATACATGGATGATGTTTCCTGCTATCACCACTACACAGAGCTGATTCCATGCAGTTAATTACTCAGCTAGCTGTGGGCTGCACCCCACCTTCCACTTCTGTCTACTCAAAATGCTTCAAGCAGTGGATTTCATCTGCCAGAGAGCTGACAGAGAGAAGGTACTTCATAATACTATCAATCCTAAAATAACCACTAAAATAAAGCAGCAAAAGTTATAGCTAATAAGCCAATAAAAGAAATAGAAGGGAATAAAAATAAATTAATGAATCCAAATGAGGGCAGAAAAAGAGGAAAACACAGAGAACCAATGAGATAAATTGAAAGCAAATAGCAAGTGGGTAGATTAAAACCCAATTGTACCAATAATCACATTAAATGTAAATGGTCTAACACCCAAATGGAAAAACTGAGATTGTCAAATTGGATACAAAAGCAAATCCCAACTATAAGCCACCTGTAAGAAACCCACTTCATTTATTTATTTATTATTTTAATTTAATTTTTTTGAGACAGGGTCTTGCTCTGTCACCCAGGCTGAATGCAGTGGTGGAATCATGGCTCACTGAAGCCTTGACTTCCTGGGCTCAAGCAATCCTCTCACCTCAGCCTCCCAAGTACCAAGTAGCTTGCTGGGACCATGGGCATGCATCACCATGCCCAACCTTTTTTTTTTTTTTTTTGTGGAGATGGGGGTCTCACCTTGTTGCCTAGGCTGGTCTCATACTCCTGAGCTCAAGTGATCCACTTGCCTCAGCTTCCCAAAGTGCTGGGATTACAGGCATGAGCCACCGTGCCCAGCCAAGAAACCCACTTTAAATATGAAGACATAAATATGTTAAAAGTAAAAGATGAAGAAATCATCTTCATCTTTCTTCTCTGGGAAATTCAACCCTAGAAGGTATCCTAAAGTGATTCCTGTCCTGGGGCTCCAGGTCTCTCAGGAAGTCCCCAAGCAAGGAAAGTGAACTCTTTCTGACCTTCATTTCCATTAGGTGTTTCCTTCATTATACTGTAGTGAGGGTCCCAGAAAGGTTATGCTCTCTGCACTCCCCTCAGGCTCTTGGATCCTATCTGGGTGATAACCTCCTGAGCTTTCCTCAGAAAAAAACCGAGGGGAACTTGGTGATTGATACCAGCTTTCCCAAGATGTTAGTTTGGTCTTGATGAAAACACTTTAGTGGGCCGGGCATGGTGGCTCATGCCTGTAATCCCAGCACTTTGGGGGGCTGAGGTGGGAGGATCACCTGAAGTCAGGAGTTCGAGACCAGCGTGACCAACATGGTGAAACCCTGTCTCTACTAAAAATACAAAAAATTAGTTTGGCATGGTGGTGTGCGCCTATAGGCCCAGCTACTCGGGAGGCTGAAGCAGGAGAATCGCTTGAACCCAAGAGGCGGAGGTTGCAGTGAGCAGAGATCGCGCCGCCACTACCCTCCAGCCTGGGCAACAGAGTGAGACGCCGTCTCCAAAAAAAAAAAAAAAAAAGAAAACACTTTAGTGTTATACCACTGCACTTAGAATAAAGGCAAAATTCCTTAACCTAATTTACATGGCCTTTTATGACCTCCCATTAATAGGCACACAAGAAAAACATAATAAATATGAGTTCAATAAACAAATATATGAAAACATTTAAATAGAGAGGAGAAATAGATTAGTCTTTGCTCACCTGTCCAGTTCTTCTCTCAGTGTGTCCATCTCCCCATCGTATGCTATATTCTAGCCATACTCAGCCCTTGCAATTTCTTAAAATCTCTGTGCTTTCTTTACTTCGGCTTCACGCATGCCATTGTCTTATTCTTGAAACATTCTTTCTTGCTTTCTCACACTGAACACAGACACACACACACACAATTACCCCTGTCTCCCATCCCCAACACCCCACACTTGCTTAAATAAGTCCTCCTCATTCTTCAGGAGTCAGCTTAAAAGTTGTTCAGAAAGTTTTTTCCACCCTTTTAGTTGGCGGGCCTCCTGTGAGCTCCCATAATTCCCTGTGCTTCTCATTTATAACAATTTTCATTTTGTGTTGTAGTCATTTAATTGTCTATCTTCCCTGTTAGATTGAAGCACAGGAACTCAATAAATTGCTTTTTAAAAATTAATGAATAAATTCATGAAAGATTCTACACTCAGAATGAAAACGAAGGCTGCCCCACCTCTATGGCAGGATATCCCAGTTGGGCAGAGAGAAAGAAGGAGGAGCTGAACCTTGATCTGGAGCCCGGCTTAGAGTCCCTGGGGAGGGGTATTTGTGTGTGCTATCACTCAGCCTTTTCAGGGAATGTGAAGAAAGGAACTGTCATACTAAAAAGGGCTACCCACCTATGAGGGAACTAATAAAATGTCTCTTCAATGGCTGACTGTCCAAGGTCTGGCTGTCCAAGTTCTGGCTGAAGGAGCTGGGATCCATATCTCCGCACTCTGTAACAACCTTTGAAGGTCTGAGAGTGGAATAGCATGTGTGAGCATGGGAAGGGACGCTCAGCCAACTCCAGCAGTTTTGCAATGACATTTGCTACCATCAGGAAAGCATCAAGGGTCACTAAAGGAGATCCATGAAAAATAGTTTCCAGTAAAGTAGCAGGCAAAAGACATTTCTAGAAACCAAATCTTTATGCTCATTGTCTTTCCTTTTGAATCCAAAGCCTTTCCATTGGAAATAACTTCCTAAAAGTATGAGGAAAAATTACGGAAAAAAGGGGCTAAGCAGGTGATTGTGGTTTGGAATATCAGGTTTGCTGACCCAGGTGTCATACTTACATCACTTTTAGAGGAGGTAGCATTTTTCTGATCCTGGAATTTCTCTCTGGCCATCATGATCTCATCTCCTTCTTCAGGGCCACAGAAATTTCAGCAGTGGTCTGCCTTTTCTTGATCCTCTCTTCTTTTTTTTTTTTTTTTTTTGAGACAGAGTTTTGCTCTCGTCACCCAGGCTGGAGTGCAATGGTGCGATCTCAGCTCACTGCAACCTCTGCCTCCTGGGTTCAAGTGATTCTCCTGCCTCAGCTTCCTGAGTAGCTGGGATTACAGGTGCTTGCCACCATGGCTTGCTAATTTTTGTATTTTTAGTAGAGACAGGGTTTCACCATGTTGGCCAGGCTGCTCTCGAACTCCTTAGCTCGGGTGATCCACCCACCTCAGCCTCCCAAAGTGCTGGGATTACACGTGTGAGCCACCGTGCCAGGACTCCAAATGTATTATGACCACAATAATTAGTTTTTTGCATAACCTTCCAGATATGTTCTGTGCTTAAAGTATTTTGGGGAAAATGTCAGGAGAGAGAAATGACTGAAGCTTGAAAATTGCTGGAGAGGAAGTGGGCAAATTTGGAACACAGGGGCCTTTGCAGGAGCAAAGGATTCAGAACGCTTCCTATGTAAGAGTTAAAATTACTGAAAGCGATTGGGTTGCACCTGATTGGCAGAGAAGCCATTAAGACTTTTAGGATAAAATCTTCATCAAAAGAGAAAGAGATGGGCGTTGGGCTGAAAGTGTTAGCTAATGATGGTTCTGGGTCTATGTGCCAGATAGCTTCCCTTTGCCCTTTTTCCAGCCTGATCTCAGCCCCACTCCAACCCTCAGGAGGCTGACTTGTACAGACTACTATAACACTTCATCAGGCTTCCTTGTCTTTTGGCCTTTGCTTGATTTCTTCGCAAATGAAAATCTCCAGCAGGAAATCAGAGGAGGGTGTGGGAGGGAAATCTGGATATTTATTTCTCGGGCTCACTCTCTGCAGTGTTACCCAAAGCAGGCTATATCTCTAGACTGAAGCGCACAGTTCCTCTCAAAGTGGACTTCTCTGCATGAGTCTCTCTATTAAGGTTCCAGTAGCTGCTCCTTCCTCTCATCTTTATGGGCATGAAGGTGGTAACATCCCACTGTTACTAGTCTGGGGTTACTCCATTGTCCCTTGTGAGTCCTTTACACCTACTTTTTATAAATAGTCCTTTACTAAGAACTCAAACAATTCTAATTTGAAAGCACCATCAACCTTCTGCTGTGATCCTGAGATATAGTCAGTTTGGCAGCAGACTCCAGAACCTGTCCCAACACAGCTATCTTAATGGCAGGCTAATGTCCTGGGGAAATGGCTAGACGACTGGTTTGAAGGACTTGTAACACTGGAAGCCTAAGTCAATTTTGCCATGGAGCAACCATCTCCAAATATGATGCAGAGAGAAGTGTCACCTGCCCTTGCTTTTGAGAAATAGCGTCTTCTGGGCAAGAATTTTCACTACCATGTTGGCAGCAATTGGAAGCAAAAGCTCAGCCCCAGCCATGTGGCTTCAGAAATGCCAGGCAATAGTGGCATGGGTATGTATGATCCTGTACCAATTATCTATTGCTGCATGTCAAACCTTCCCAAAAGAGAATAGCTTAAAACAGCCATTTTATTACTCCTTATTGTTCCATGGGATTGTTGTGGGCTCAACAGGAAGGTTCTTGCCTGTGGTTTATCATGCAGTTGCAGTTAGATGGTGGCTGGAGCTGGAGTCACCTGAAGGCTTGACTGAGTTGAATATCCAAATGGCATCTTCATTCTCACATCTTGTAAACTGGTGCTGGCTATTGAATAGGATCAAAGCTGGAACTATCAACCAGGCATTTGATTTTCCTCCACAGGGCATATTTACATGGGTAGCTTGGGCTTCCTCATAGCATGGTGGTCTCAGAGTAGTTAGAATTCTAACATGAAAGCTGGCTTCCCCAAAAATGCATTTTCCAAGGGAGCCAGGTGAAGGTGCATCATTTCTTATAACCCGGCCTTAGAAGACGTTCAGTATCACTCCAGGCACATCTATTCATCAAATTTAGTTCTAGGCCTGCCCAGATTTAAGGGAAGAGAGTGAATATCCAGAGCCATGGATTACTGGGAGGCCATCTTTGGGGAATAACTACTGTTAGCTCCAGGGGTGGTTATTTTAGCACAAGTGGTGGCAGGAGCAAGAATTGCAGGTATCTCTTTGGAATGCCAAGGTTTCTGCTGTCGGCAAGATAACAGCCTTGAGAGCAAACATAATTGGCTTTTCATTTCATCCACATATCTGCAGGCTAGGGGAGCTCCTTGGAAAATCAGGAGAGGGACTAGACTAGGAATCTTGCAAATCCAGGGGCTTAAGTGTCCTACTTTAGGATACATTGTAGTAGGAAGGCAAAACTACCCTGGTTTGACATAGATGAGCAAGTTGAGGCTGAAAGAAATTAGTGGTAGAATCAAGATTCAAACCTAGGCCTGGCTGCTGTTCAAAAACTCTTAACACTAAGTCAGAGGTAGATTACTCAAAATGTCTACAGGGGCCAGACACGTTCAGTAAATACATCAAGCTAGTGTAAGACAACTGGCAAGAAGCAACCTATGTTGCAATCAAGCTGAACACCTGTTTTAAAACATCTGCCTTTTAACATACTTGTAGACAAATCCAAACTAAAACAAAATTCAAAATTCAGCCCAAGGGCAGTGGTGTAGGTGGTGTAAATGGTGCCTGCAAACAGTGGAAATGAGTTTGAGCCTTTTCTGCCTTTGGAAGGGGCTGGAATTTGCAAAGATTGTTGTTTTTCACCACTTTCTTAGGGAGTGGCACATAGAAATGTTAAGTTCTCTGCTCATACTCCTTCCCATATCCTTGCCCAAAGGCTGCCAATTTACAACCTACCTACTAAATTCTACTACTACTTACCCAAATATATATGTATGTATGTATGTGTGTGTATATATATGTATACACATATGTATATATGTATATATATACACACACATAAATATATATATATATAAAAATGTATATATATATATATTTTTTTTTTTTGAGATGGAGTCTCACTCTGTTGCCCAGGCTGGAGTGCAGCGGTGCGATCTTGGCTCATTGCAACCTCTGCCTCCTGGGTTCAAGCAATTCTCCTGCCTTAGCCTCCTGAGTAGCTGGTACTACAGGCATAAGCCACCACACCCGGCAAATTATTGTATTTTTAGTAGAGGCAGGGTTTTACCATGTTGGCCAGGATGGCGCCTTTTTTTAAAAGATCAACAAAATTGATAGACCGCTAGTAAGACTAATGAAGAAAAGAGAGAAGAATCAAATAGATGCAATAAGAAATGATAAAGGGGATATCACCACCGATCCCACAGAAATACAAACTACAATCAGAGAATACTATAAACACCTCTATGCAAATAAACTAGAAAATCTAGAAGAAATGGATAAATTCCTGGACACATACACCCTCCCAAGACAAAACCAGGAAGAAGTTGAATCTCTGAATAGACCAATAACAGGCTCTGAAATTGAGGCAATAATTAATAGCTTACCAACCAAAAAAAGTCCAGGACCAGACGGATTCACAGCCGAATTCTACCAGTGGTACAATGAGGAGCTAGTACCATTCCTTCTGAAACTATTCCAATCAATAGAAAAAGAGGGAATCCTCCCTAACTCATTTTATGAGGCCAGCATCATCCTGATACCAAAGCCTGGCAGAGACACAACAAAAAAAGAGAATTTTAGACCAATATCCCTGATGAACATCGATGCAAAAATCTTCAGTAAAATACTGGCAAACCGAATCCAGCAGCACATCAAAAAGCTTATCCACCATGACCAAGTGGGCTTCATCCCTGGGATGCAAGGCTGCTTGAACATATGCAAATCAATAAACGTAATCTAGCATATAAACAGAAGCAAAGACAAAAACCACATGATTATCTCAATAGATGCAGAAAAGGCCTTTGACAAAATTCAACAACACTTCATGCTAAAAACTCTCAATAAATTAGGTATTGATGGCACGTATCTCAAAATAATAAGAGCTATTTATGACAAACCCACAGCCAATATCATACTGAATGGGTAAAAACTGGAAGCATTCCCTTTGAAAACTGGCACAAGACAGGGATGCCCTCTCTCACCACTCCTGTTCGACATAGTGCTGGAAGTTCTGGCCAGGGCAATCAGGCAGGAGAAAGAAATAAAGGGTATTCAATTAGGAAAAGAGGAAGTCAAATTGTCGCTGTTTGCAGATGACATGATTGTACGTTTAGAAAACCCCGTCGTCTCAGGCCAAAATCTCCTTAAGCTGATAAGCAACTTCAGCAAAGTCTCAGGATACAAAATGAATGTGCAAAAATCACAAGCATTCCTATACACCAATAACAGACAGAGAGCCAAATCAGGAGTGAACTCCCATTCACAATTGCTTCAAAGAGAATAAAATACCTAGGAATCCAACTTACAAGGGATGTGAAGGACCTCTTCAAGGAGAACTACAAACCACTGCTCAACAAAATAAAAGAAGACACAAACAAATGGAAGAACATTCCATGCTCATGGATATAAAGAATCAATATTGTGAAAATGGCCATACTGCCCAAGGTAATTTATAGATTCAATGCCATCCCCATCAAGCTACCAATGACTTTCTTCACAGAATTGGAAAAAACTACTTTAAAGTTCATATGGAAACAAAAAAGAGCCCGCATAGCCAAGACAATCCTAAGCAAAAAGAACAAAGCCAGAGGCATCAACCTACCTGACTTCAAACTATACTACAAGGCTACAGTAACCAAAACAGCATGGTACTGGTACCAAAACAGAGATATAGACCAATGGAACAGAACAGAGGCCTCAGAAACAACACCACACATCTACAACCATCTGATCTTTGACAAACCTGACAAAAACAAGAAATGGGGAAAGGATTCCCTGTTTAATAAGTGGTGCTGGGAAAACTGGCTAGCCATATGAAGAAAGCTGAAACTGGATCCCTTCCTTACATCTTATACAAAAATTAATTCAAGATGGATTAAAGACTGAAATGTTAGACCTAAAACCATAAAAACCCTAGAAGAAAACCTAGGCAATACCATTCAGGACATAGGCATGGGCAAGGGCTTCATGACTAAAACACCAAAAGCAATGGCAACAAAAGCCAAAATAGTCAAATGGGATCTAATTAAACTAAAGAGCTTCTGCACGGCAAAAGAAACTATCATCAGAGTGAACAGGCAACCTATAGAATGGGAGAAAATTTTTGCAATCTACTCATCCAACAAAGGGCTAATATCCAGAATCTACAAAGAACTCAAACAAATTTACAAGAAAAAAAACAAACAATCCCATCAAAAAGTGGGCAGAGGATATGAACAGACACTTCTCAAAAGAAGATATTTATGCAGCCAACAGACACATGAAAAATGCACATCACTGGTCATCAGAGAAATGCAAATCAAAAGCACAATGAGATACCATCTCACACCGGTTAAAATGGTGATCATTAAAAAATCAGGAAACAACAGATGCTGGAGAGGATGTGGAGAAATAGGAATGCTTTACACTGTTGGTGGGAGTGTAAATTAGTTCAACCATTGTGGAAGACAGTGTGGCGATTCCTCAAGGATCTAGAACTAGAAATACCATTTGACCCAGCGATCCCATTACTGGGGATATACCCAAAGGATTATAAATCATGCTACTATAAAGACACATGCACGCACATGTTTATTGCGGCACTATTCACGATAGCAAAGACTTGGAACCAACCCAAATGTCCATCAATGATAGACTGGATTAAGGAAATGTGGCACATATACACCATGGAATACTGTGCAGCCATAAACAAGGATGAGTTCATGTCCTTTGGAGGGACATGGATGAAGCTGGAAACCATCATTCTCAGCAAACTATCACAAGGACAGAAAACCAAACACCCCATGTTCTCACTCATAGGTGGGAATTGAACAATGAGAACACTTGGACACAGGGAGGGGAACATCACACACTGGGGCCTGTTGTGGTGTGGGGGGCTGGGAGAGGGATAGCATTAGGAGAAATACCTAATGTAAATGATGAGTTAATGGGTGCAGCACACCAACATGGCACATGTATACCTATGTAACAAACCTGCACGTTGTGCACATGTGCCCTAGAACTTTAAGTATAATAAAAATAAATAAATAAATATATTCTGTTGTGATGGGCAATTAGTTGAAAAAGCTACTATCAATAGAAAAGAGTGTCTGGATTAAGACGGGGATTGTGGAGACCTAGGTTTTATCATGCAGAATGCCTCCCAGTAGCAGGCTTTAGAGAGAATAGACTGTAAATGTTTCTTATCACACTTAAAGTCTGTGTTGATGTTAATGCTGGAGGGATATATTGAGGCATGTCCCACCCCCATTTCCCCTCATGGCCTGAACCAGTCTTTCATGTTAAATTTTAGAGTGCCTTGGGTGAGTCCACTCAGATGGTTGCAGAGGGTCTTCTAATTTTATTTTTGGTTTACAACATAAATGATTACCAGCCATTATTCTGGAGGTCACAAGATGTGCAACTCCCCAATTACTCCTGCAAATAATATCACTATTGTAGAACCTAAGATTGGCCTTTTGAAATGTCTGTTCAGGATTTTGCATTTCTGACAACCAATGGCTTCATCTGGACCTGTTGACTCCCACCAACTGGTCCTTGTGGCCCTACCTAGAAGGGGTCCACCAAACCGTCCTTGAAAAGGCCCAGCCTCCAAATTTTTGGAGAGATTGATTTGAGTAATAACTCTGTCTCCCTCTGCTGTGACCAGTGTGAAAGGAAAATAAATCTTAGGGCCCCAAATATAACTAAGCCAAAGGGAAAAGTCAAGCTGGGAACTTCTTAGGGCAAATCTGCCTCCCATTCTATTCCTTAAAAAGATAGCTACTAAGATTAAAAAAAAAAAAAAAAAAAAAAAAAGCTACACGGGGGCTGGGCGTGGAGGCAGAGGTTGCAGTGAGCCGAGATTGCACTATTGCACTCCAGCCTGGGCAACAGAGTGAGACTCCATCTCAAAAACAAACAAACAAAAAAACTACATGGAGCCGACTGCCTGTGATTCCAGCACTTTGGGAGGCTGAGGCAGGTGGATCACTTGAGGTCAGGAGTTCAAGACCAGCCTGGCCAATATGAAGAAACCCCGTCTCTACTAAATATATGAAAATTAGCAGGGTATGGTGGTGTGTGCCTGTTATCCCAGCTACTGGGGAGGCTGAGGCAGGAGAATCACAGGAATCCAGAAGATGGAGGTTGTAGTGATCCGAGATTGTGCCACTGCACTCCAGCCCAGGCCACACAGCAAGACTCCATCTCAAAAAAAAAAAAAAAAAAAAGCTACATGCCTTCCTCACGAGGAATTTCCTTGTGGACAAAGGACAAACAGAACTGAAAGTCATCCCTCTGCTCACTGAGATAAATGCATATCTGACTGCCTTCTTTAGAAAGCCTGGCTAATCAGAAACTTAAAAGAATGCAACCATTTGTCTCTTACCTACCTATGACCTGGAAGCTCCCAACCCACTTCAAGTTTTCCTGCCTTTCCAGAAGGAACAAATGAACATCTTACCTATATTGATTGATGTCTCATGTCTCCCTAAAATGTATAAAACCAAGCTGTGCCCCAACAACATTGGGTGCATATCATCAGGACTTTGTGAGGCTGTGTCACAGGCGTACATTCTTAACTTTGGCAAAATAAACTTCCTAAATTGACTGAGACCTGTCTCAGATATTTGAGGTTCACACCGGTGTAAACCGAAAATAAAATTGTAAGACCTCCCCAACCAACCGAAAGGACCTGTCCTCTCAGCCAACGGCATTCTAAAGTAATACCGAAACACTAGTTCAGGCCGTGATGGAAATGGGTAGTCAGACATGCCTTATTATACCTTCCTCCCAGTGGAATTCAGGTACAGGTGACCAACATTAACATTAAAACAGAGACCTTAAGACTGACAAAAGAGACTCTTTGTAGCAGTAAGATACCAACATGACACATAGCAGACCTTGAAAGAAATAGAAGTATTTTACCTCAAAGTATATTTCTTTGATAAATTTTGAAATGGCCCTGCAAAGCTGTCTCTTGTGGGGAAAATCTACGTTCTGTAGAGAATCCCCTTCCCTTTCCAGATTGCTTTCCTGATCCAGGAGAGAATGAACTAAGAGTCTAGCCCCTTTTTAAGTCTGATAAGAAATGTTTGCAACTTATTCTCTCTGAAGCCTGCTACCTGAAGTCTTCATCTGCATAATAAGAATCTTGGTCTCCACAGACACTTATCTTCATGGAGACACTCCTTTCTATTGATTCCAGGTCTTTAGATAAACTCTTTCAAACAATTGCTAATCAGAAAATATTTGAATCTGCTGGGCATGGTGGCTGATGCCTATAATCCCAGCAACTTTGGCAGGGCAAGGCAGGTGAATCACCTGAGGTCAGGTGTTCAAGACCAGCCTGGCCAATATGGTGAAACCCCCGTCTCTACAAAAATACAAAAAAATTAGCCAGCATGATGGTGCACACCTGTAATCCCAGCTACTCCGGAGGCTGAGGCGGGAGAATTGCTTGAACCCAGGAGGCAGAGGTTGCAGTGAGCTGAGATTGCGCCATTGCACTCCAGCCTGGGCAACAGAGCAAGACTCTGTCTCAAAAAAAAAAAAAAAAAAAAAAGTCATGCATGCATGCATGGAGCTGACATTCTATTGAATAACCCAGGCAATAAACTAAATACATATGTAAATTATATAACATTTTATAAAATGAGAAAAATCAAGCAAGAAGGGGGATTGAGAGTAGTGAGGGGTAGTTGCACTCATAAGTAAAGAGGTAAAGGAAGACCTCTCTACCCAGAGGAGGCCTCACATCTTCTTGCCCATGAAGTGGCAAAGTGCAGCCCATTGGCCAAATCTGGCTGTGGCCCATTTTCTTAAGGCCACAAACTAAGAATATTTCTTTTTCAAGTTTTTAAAGAATTGTAAAATAAGAAAAAAGAACACATGAAAGAGACCTTACATAGCCTGCAAAGCTTAAAATAGTTACTATCTGACCATTTACAAAGAAAGTGTGCAGACTTGGCCCACCTTTTATGTCATTGCTTTCGCAACCAGCTTTACACAAGTGTAGCCTGACAGTACCTGGCCTCAGTTGCACGAACATCTTTTGTTTTCTTCCCGCACTTCCCACCTACCAACCCACCAGGGAAGTCTGCCTGACACTTACACCTGTGCCTCCTGGAGATGTGAATTACTTAACACTCTATGAGGCAGCCCTTGACAATGGGGGCATGGGAGCTGACAGGTAAGTGCTCGCATCCCTGTTTCCCTCTCCTGGGAAGATAATTCTGTATTACCGTCTATATGCTTCAGAAGGGCCAGTTACTCAAAGTTGTGACCAACTTGATAACACGTGGGCTCATCCTCTTTCTGTTTCTTTCCCTCCAGTTTCCTACTCTCTGAGCTCTTGTTGTGGGATCTACTTTTGACGGCGAGCCCAGGCTAAGACTGTAACTGCAGATGCGTTCGCCCTGCTCACTACACAGACAAAACTAATTCATTTAGACCATGGCATTGCAATAAAGAAAGAGTTTAACAGACATGAGGCTGGCCAGGCCATATGGGAGACAGTTATTAGTCAAATCAATTTCCCCCCAAATTCAGAGGCTAGGGTTTTTCAAGGATAGTTTGGCAGGCCAGGGAGTTCACTTCTGGCTGTGGCCACAGGACTGGTTGGTGGGGCCAGGTGGAATCATTGATCAGAAATGCAAAAACCTGAAAAGACATCTCAAAAGGCCAATCTTAGGTTCTACAACAGTAATGCTATTTATCCACAGGAGTAACTGGAGTAGTTGCAAATCTTGTGATCTCTGGAATAATGGCTTGTTATCATTTATGTCTGCGTCTTAGCAAAATTCAGGTTCTTCATCCTCCTAACCTGGTGGTCTTTCATTAGCTTTACAAAAGCAGTTTAGTGGCCAGGTGCGGTGGTTCACACCTGTAATCCCAGCACTTTGGGAGGCCTAGATGGGTGGATCACGAGGTCAGGAGTTCAAGACCAGCCTGGCCAACATGGGGAAACCCTGTCTCTACTAAAAATACAAAAATTAGCTGGGCATGGTGGTGGGCACCTGTTAATCCCAGCTACTCGGGAGGCTGAGGCAGGAGAATTGCTTGAACAGGGGAGGCGGAGGTTACAGTGAGCCAAATTGCACCACTGCACTCCAGTCTGGGCGACAGAGCAAGACTCTGTCTTGGAAAAAAAAAAAATGCAGTTTAGTTTTGGGGAAGGATTATTATCATTTAAACTGTAAACTAAATGTCTCCCAAAGTTAGCTTGGACTAAGCCCAGGGGTGATTTAGGGCAGTTTGGAGGTTTAAAGGCAAGATGGGAGTTGGTTAGATCAGATCTCTTTCACTGTCATAACTTTCTCACTGTTATAATTTTTGCAAAGGCATTTTTAAGACAGTTAGTACCAGGAGTGACCCTAGAAAGCTGACTCTTAGGCTGGACTCTGGAACTGGTTCACTTGCCAATCACCCCACTGCTGGTGGTAGGCATGGTAATGATAACCCTGGCATGCTGGGGCATCACAATTGCTAAGACTCTCACTAATGGTGGATTAGAATGGGGTGCGGGTGGAGGGGGAAGCACTGGATTATGAGCTAGCTAAGGTACCTGATGGTATAGGCGTAATAGGATTTTTTTTTCCTTTATAAGAATTGTAGAGTTGGCTGACTTTTATTACCTTCTTTAGAAACCATGAAGGTAAATGACAGATGCCTTTTTTTTTTTTTTTGAGATGGAGTCTAGGTCTGTCGCCCAGGCTGGAGTGCAGTGGCGTGATCTCGGCTCACTGCAACATCCGCCTTCTGGGTTTAAATGATTCTCCTGCCTCAGCCTCCTAAATAGCTAGGACTACAGGTGCGCACCACCATGCCCAGCTAATTTTTGTATTTTTAGTAGAGACGGGGTTTCACCATGTTGGCCAGGCTGGTCTTGAACTCCTGTCCTCAAGTGATCCACCTGCCTCAGCCTCCCAGAGTGCTGGGATTACAGATGTGAGCCAACGCGCTGTCAGTAGATGACAGATTCTGGTCAAACAACAATTAATTCAAGGTATGTTGTGAAAGTCAAAAGGACTTTATGGTAGCTTTAAGGAGAACCTCAACTCCTGCAACCTCAGGGCAGGCAATGCTGTAAATCAGGATTTAAGAATGACTAAGGTATGAAGAAGACAAAATGTAAAGCCTCACAAGGTTCATGCAAACTCAGGGCCCTAATAGAAAAGGAGCAGGAACTAACTCCTGGGATGGGAACATTTGAGGGCATGAACCTAAGAATCTTGCATCTCCAGATTCCTATCACTTCCTTCACTCTTGTTAGGGGAAAGCAGTCTCCCCTTGACTGGAACCCTTTTAAAAACTCTCCATAGCCAGGTTCCTTGCAGGATGATACTTGTACTCCTTAAGATCTGCTCTTGCCTGCCCTCATTACCTTAAGTCTGATAATTAGGGACAAGCTGCATCAAAGCCTGAGGAAAAAAAAAATACAGTTCGTGCTCTACAAGGAAATAATGTACATACCACCGAATTGTAGGAGCTGGCTAACTGGAACCAGGGCAACATGTGTGGAGTGGATCTTGGGGAATGCTAAATCAGGGGAGGTGGAATATAAGGGTGCAGGGTGAAATTTATTAATGTGGGAGCACTATCTCAAGACTTAGTGGTTAATGTGCTGGCAAGGACACCAGGAGTTGGCTCTGAGAACTAAATGGTGAATAAGAAAAATATAGCTTGGGGGCCGGGCAAGGTGGCTCACTCCTGTAATCCCAGCACTTTGGGAGGCCGAGGAGGGTGGATCATGAGGTCAGGAGTTCAAGATCAGCCCAGCCAACATGGTAAAACCCCGTCTCTACTAAAATACAAAAATCAGCCCGGCGTGGTGGTGGGCGCCTGTAATCCCGACTACTTGGGAGGCTGAAGCAGGAGAATCACTTGAACCTTGGAGGCAGAAGTTGCAATGAGCTGAGATTGAGACTCTGCCCTCCAGCCTGGGCTATAGAGCGAGACTCTGTCTCGAAAAAACAAAACAAAACAAAACATAAAACAAATACAGCTTGGTCCTCTTAGGCACTCATAATCTAGTAAGTTAGGTGTTTATAATTCAGTGTTATAAATTCTATAGTTATTAGATGAAGGGCCCTAAGATCAGGAAGAAGAAGAAGGAAGAGGAGGAGAGAAAGAAAAAGTTCCCTGATATTAAGTCTACTATGTACCTGACTCCTTAGCTACTGTTTCCCATTAAGTTTCATTTAGTCTTCTCTGTACGTCTGTTAAGTCAGGTATTATAAGGAGTAGTGGTGGGGGTTAATAGATTAAGGTGACATTGTCTGAAATTTTGTAAGCATGTCTTGATTCTATAACATAAAGGAAATATCTAAGCTTATGCCAAAAACCTAGTACAGATTCCCATGATACAGGCAAGGCAAGGCCTTTGAAGTCTTTTTTCCTCTCCCTAAATTTTTTTTTTTTTGAGATGGAGTCTCGCTCTGTCGCCCAGGCTGGAGTGTAGTGGCACCATCTCGGCTCACTGCAAGCTCTGCCTCTCGGGTTCATGCCATTCTTCTGCCTCAGCCTCCCAAGTAGCTGGGACTACAGGTGCCTGCCCCCACGCCCCGCTAATTTTTTGTATATTTAGTAGAGATGGTGTTTCACTGTGTTAGCCAGGATGGTCTCAATCTCCTGACCTCGTGATCCGCCCGCCTCAGCCTCCCAAAGTGCTGGGATTACAGGCATGAGCCACTGTGCCTGGCCTCCTCTCCCTGAATTTAAACACAAATCTTAGGATGCCACAACTCTGACCAGCTACTTGGCAGGAAATCAAGGAATAAGTGCAAGATGGCTGCCCTCCTTCCATATCCAGGAAAGGCCTGCTTCTCAGACTACTTTTGCTCCAGGGAAGAGGAGCAGGAGAAGAGAATCACCAATCTACTCACTCCATGAAGAAATAATGTACATACATTATTTCTACAGTTAGCCAGTAGATGCTGGCTAACTGGAACCAGGGCAACATGTATGGAATGGATCTTGGGAAATGCTGAATGTGGGGAGCCAAAGAGGAAAGTAAGCTGGGAACTGCTTAGGGCAAACCTGTATCCCAGTCTATTTCTAAAAAACATGGCTACGAAGATTTAAAAAAGTTACATACATCCCTTACAAGAAATTTCCTTGTGGATGAAGGACAGACATCATGACAATAACATAAAAGGCTGGCCAAGTCTGCATACTTTCTCTGTGAATAGTCAGTGGAGAACCTGGAGTCCTTATCACTAACAGAAAGACCCAGCCACTGTATACAATTCAGATTAGCTTTTAGTCCCCTTGGGAGAGTAAGAGGTAAGTGAGCAGAATAGCACAGAATCCCTTCTTCTCTCATAGATAGGATTACCTCCCTTTAATAGACAAAACTTTCATACCTAATCCTAGCTCAGGTAGGGAGCAAAGCCTAATCCAGGTCTGACTACTGCTCTGCAGAACCATGTCTATGGCCTTTGAAAGGATAACCTTTGGCCAGGTGCGGTGGCTCACGCCTATAATCCTAGCACTTTGGGAGGCCGTGGCGGGTGAATCAACTGAGGTCAGGAGTTCGAGACCAGCCTGGCCAATATGATGAAATGCCATCTCTACTAAAAATACAAAACATTAGCCAGGCATGGTGGCAGAGGCCTATAATCCCAGCTTGTCGGGAGCCTAAGGCAGCAGAATCCCTTGAACCTGTGAGGCGGAGGTTGCAGTGAGCGGAGATGGAGCCACTGCACTCCAGCCTGGACAACAAGAGTGAAACTTGATCTTGAAAGGAAAAGAGAACCTTTGACCAAATGGAGGGGAAAAATAGGTACACAGCAGCTTAGAGGCTGCTTTTAACGTTGTAGAAGGCACAGGAATTCCCAGGAGAGCAGGGAGTGCCTGGACAAATGAAATTTATGGGTCACGTGACTGAGCAGGCCAGGAAAATATTGGGCTTGTCAGATGTCAGCTCTTTCTGAGTAGAGTTCAGGTCAAGAAAACAAACTTAGATTAGCTAAGGATTACCCAGATTTTTGACCCTGTTGAAATGTTTCTCATGAGATTCTCACTGGATTTCAACCTGGTGTGCTCCTGGGATTTTTAAATAATTTTTTGGAATATTAAAATAACTTTACCTTTTGATTAGAAAAGCAATGTATAGTCATTATAACACATCATAAATATAAAAAATTACAGAGAAGAACTTAAAAATTATCCATAATCCCACAACTTAAAGATATTGCAATCGGCCGGGCGCAGTGGCTCACACCTATAATCCTAGCACTTTGAGAGGCCAAGGCAGGCGGATTGTCTGAGCTCAGGAGTTTGAGACCAACCTGGGCAACATGGTGAAACTCCCTCTCTACTAAAATACAAAAAAATTAGACAGGCGTGGCAGTGTGATCCTGTAGTCCCAGATACTTGGGAGGCTAAGGTAAGAGAATTGCTTGAACCCGGGAGGTGGAGGTTGCAGAGATCGCACCACTGCACTCCAGCCTGGGCAACACAGCGAGACTCCATCTCCATTAAAAAAAAAAAAAAAGATATTACAATGAATTTACATGTCCTTCCAGATTTAAAAAAACGTATCTAAGTTTGCCAATGTGACAACATGCTTCCTTCTTCCCACTTTCTGGTACATTCCAAGTTTCAGGTACCTTAGGAAGGTCTTTCTTGGTAATGCAACTCCAGAAAGAACAAATCACACTCGCCATGAGAACCTCTTTTTCCTTTTGTCTTCCTCACCTCTGGGGCCTGGGGTAGCCCCATTGGGTGTCTCATCTAAATAGAAGGCTTTGCGCCTGTTGAGAAGTTGAAGAACAAGTATATAGAGGAGAGACACCAGCTCTAGAGTCTCCAGGCCTATAGCCTCTGGCTTGGAACTCACAGTAAAGTTTTGATCATTCTTCTGGTCTCCATGTGTGCTCTCAATGCACTAAAGCTGAGATCAGCAAACTTTTTTTTTTTTTTTCTGAGACAGAGTCTTGCTCTATCGCCCAGGCTGGAGTGTAGTGGCACAATCTCAGCTCACTGCAACCTCTGCCTCCCTGGTTCAAGCAATTCTCCTGCCTCAGCTTCCCAAGTAGCTAGGATTACTGGTGCGTGCCACCATGCCCAGCTAATTTTTTGTATTTTTAATAGAGACGGGGTTTCACCATGTTGGCCAGGCTGGTCTCAAACTCCTGACCTCAGATGATCCACCCACCTTGGCCTCCCAAAGTGCTGAGGTTCCAGGCATGAGCCACCACACCCGGCTTCAGCAAACTTCTTTTGTTTTATTTATTTATTTTTTTTTTGAGACAGAGTCTCATTCTGTCACTCAGGCTGGAGTGCTGTGGTGCAATCTCGGCTCACTGCAACCTCCACCTCCCAGGTTCAAGTGATTCTCCTGCCTCAGTCTCCCAAGTACCTGGGATCACAGGCATGCGCCACCACACCTGGCTAATTTTTATATTTTTAGTAGAGACGGGGTTTCGCCATGTTGGCCAGGCTGGTCTCGAACTCCTGACCTTAGGTGATCCACCTGCTTCGGCCTGCCAAAGTGCTGGGATTACAGGTGTGAGCCACCATGCCCAGCCTAGCTTTTTGTATAAAGGATCAGATAATAACTATTTCAGGCTTTCTGGACTATACTGTCTCTATTGCAGCTGCTTGACTCTGCCATTGTTGGATAAAAGCAGACAATCCATAAATGAACGGGCATGACTGTGTTTCAATAAAACTTTATTTATGAAAACAAATGAGAAGCTGGACATGGCTGAAGGGCCACAGTTTGCCAACCCTTGCACTAGCTAAAGGAAGAGCATGAGGGAAGAAACTGTAGCATCTTCCTCTCATTACCAAAGGCAGAACACTAGGCATAATTATACACACACACATGCACACACATATACTCAAACATTTGTTTAAAAAGAAAACCTCACACATTTGTGATGAAACTATAGATTCAATTCTTTAAATTGTGGTAAAATACACATAACATAAAATTTACCATTTTAGCCATTTTAAATGTACAGTTCAGTGGTATTAAGTACATTCACATTGTTGTGCAACCATCACCACCATCCATTCGTCTCCAGAACTTTATTCATCTTGCAAAACTGAAACTCTATACCCATTAAACATTAAACCCTATTTCCCTCTCCCTCCAGCCTCTGGCAACCACCCTTCTATTTTCTGTCATTATGATTTTACTACTCCTGGGACCTCATGTAAGTGGAATCATGGCTGGGCATGGTGGCTCACGCCTATAATCCCACCACTCTGGGAGGCTGAGGAGGGTGGATTGCCTGAGCTCAGGAGTTCCAGACCACCCAGAGCAACATGGTGAAACCCCGTCTCTACTAAAAATACATAAAATTAACTGGGTGTGGTTGTGCAAGCCTCTAGTCCCAACTTCTTGGGAGGCCGAGGCAGGAGAATTGCTTGAGCCCCAAGAGATAAAGGTTGTAGTGAAGGCCGAGATCACGCCACTGCACTCCAGCTTGGGCTACAGAGTGAGACTCCATCTCAAAAAAAAAAAAAAAAAAAAAAAAAGAAAGTGGAATCATACAATATTGCCCTTTTTTTGATTGGCTTATTTCACTTGGTTCATTTATTTTTATTTATTTATTTATTTTGAGATAGAGTTTCGCTCTTTTGCCCAGGCTAGTGTGAAGTGGCACGATCTTAGCTCACTGCAACCTCTGCCCCCCGGGTTCAAGCAATTCTCATGCCTCAGCTTACGGAATAGCTGGGATTATAGGTTCCCACCACCATGCCCCACTAATTTTGTATTGTTAGTAGAGATGGGGTTTTGCCATGTTGGCCACTCTGGTCTTGAACTCCTGACCTCAGGTGATCCACCCGCCTTGGCCTCCTAAAGTGCTGGGATTACAGGCGTTAGCCACCGCGTCTGTCTTTTAAGGTTAATTTATGTTATAACATATGTCAGAGTATAGATTCAATTTTATAAATTTTAAAAACCTAACGATATTTCCTGCATACTTTTCCAGGTCATTAAAAACTTCTGGTAAATACAATTTTTAAAGGGTACATAATATTTCACTGAATTAGACTGACTAAAGGATAATTCATTAGAGGCCAGGACAACCTTCTCTACTTTCGAGGAGAGCTAGCCGCTCCCCTAATCACAGATGATTGGATTGGGGACCAATGCAGTAGCAAAGGCTACCCAACTACACATGAGCTGGGCCCTGGCTGCCCAGTGGAGATGCTGCCTATAGAATGGCCCTGAAATGAATCAATAAAATCTGGGATAGTAGAGCTGCAGGGCAAACAAAATGAAAGCAGGTCCCACTGTGTTAGGAAATCAACTCCATCCTAATAAATAATCTGATTTTGTCTCTTCTGTTTACCCTGATGAACTTGGCAGGCATAACTTATACATCCATCATGTGGATGATTCATATTTATAAGCATTCTCCTTTGGTGGACATTTAGGTTATTCCCAATATTTTGCTATTACAAATAATGTTTCAATAAACATCTTTGTACATAACCCTTTTTTACATATCCAGTCACTTCCTTGGAAAGGCTGAGTGAGTGTATCTTTGGCAGCAAATTCGCTGTGACTGGGAATTGTTTAGCCCTTTGGCCTCCAAGAAGTTTGAGGATCCAAGATGGCTCCACTGCTAAAACATTGATTGACTGCTCATAAGGAGAACTGGCAAGAGCTGAACAAGATATGAAGCTTCCAGTCCTACAAAGTTTCTTATTAGGATAAGGCTCAAGCTTAGAGGGGCAGGCCAAAAAATCAAGCAGGACAATAGGGCAAGACTGGCTAGGAAGAAAAGCCTAGGTCATAAGCCCATGCTGGTGAACTGAGCCTGTTCATTGTGGAGTGGCATTGAGGTTGAGGGTGACATGGGGGATAGAGTCTTCTGATGGGTGGTTATACAAACAACAGGGCCCTTCCTTAGCTTAATGAATCCTTGGTCTATTGGACCTACAGGAAACTTGAAGGAAGAAAGTAACTACACAGTAGTATCACACTCTGTGTGCTGGGCTGCAGTAAAATTATTTACTCATATCCAGTTCTCCTCCACTTTCTGGTAATAAGGAAGGTGATGATTCTTAGGCCCTTGCAGGTTGGCAGGGCTACATGACTAGTTCTAGCCAATGGACCAAAACTGGAATGCCATTGTATCATTTCTGGGATGAGATGGTTAAAACCTCAAACTTGGCCCATCCCTCATCTTTCCCCTGTCTTAGTATCCCTGAACACCATGTGTTGTGATGGTGACATTATAAGATGGAACCTTTCTCAGCCTGGGTTCTTGAGTAATAATATGGAGCACTGCCTTCCACTAACCTATGTTGGACGTATATTGTGATGAGAAATTAATTTTCTTTTTTTGAGATGGAGTCTTGCTCTGTCGCCTAGGCTGGAGTGCAGTGGTGCCATCTGGTCTCACTGCAGCCTCTGCCTCCTGAGTTCAAGCAATTCTCCTGCCTCAGCCTCCCGAGTAGCTGGGATTACAGGCGTGTGCCATCACGCCCAGCTAATTTTTGTATTTTAGCAGAGACAGGGTTTTACCATGTTGACCAGGCTGGTCTTGAACTCCTGACCTCGTGATCCGCCTGCCTCGGCCTCGCAAAGTGCTGGGATTACAGGTGTGAACCACCGTGCCCAGCCGAGAAATGAATTTTCTTATTTAGCATTGTTGACTATCCTAACCTAATTGAGACACTGGCCTTGTGCAAGGTTAAGTGGCAGAGTTCAGATTTGACTCTAAGTCTCTCTAACTTCAGAGCCTGCATTATTAGTCCTAGATCATTTAGATCTGCTTGGTGGGATCTTGTGAGTCCATTGGCTTTGAGGGTAGAACACCAGATCTTGGATCTGGGAGTGTGATCATTTCCTAAACTCCTAAGATCAAGGAAGAGAACAAAAAAGGCGGCTGGGCACAGTGGCTCATGCCTGTAATCCCAGCACTTTGGGAGGTGGGTGGATCACGAGGTCAGGAATTGACCAGCCTGACCAACACGGTGAAACCCCATCTCTACTAAAACTACAAAAAATCAGCCGGGCATGGTGGCAGGTGCCTGTAATCCCAGTTACTCAGGAGGCTGAGGCAGGGGAATCGCTCAAACCCAGGAGGCAGAGGTTGCAGTAAACCGAGATTGTGCCACTGCACTCCAGCCTGGGCGACAGAGCAAGACTCTGTCTCAGGAAAAAAAATAAAAAAGGGCTACTGATATTGCCTCTGCTCCTGTTAGGAGTGGGAACTGATTTGGGAAGGAGGTTGCTCTTGCAGGTGAAGACATCAGTAGACTCAGTATTAGGTCGCTGAGTAAGACTCTGAGTAAGTGAAGAAAAATGAGATGGGGCTGAAAGATGGTAATATTCCTGTTATCACTGAAGATCAAGTCATTTTCTCTCCAGGATGACAATTGACAATGCAGACTAATTTTTTCACAAATGTTCATTCTTGCTTCTACTGGTGACATGTGGGCAGGCACGGCAGGAGGAGGTCACAATCATCTGAGTGTTGCAGAGTTATTCATCTGGTGCAGAATGGGGTGACAGCTCACTGAGACTTAGCATTCTGTTGGATTGAGTCACTCTGCATGTCATGCTGTCTCAGCATCAAATCATCCTCTTAGGTCTAGGTTTCAAAGGGGTCCTGAGAAGTAAGTCCCTATAGTTTCTAAAGTCTCTGGGTACCTTCTTGGCTCTGTTGGGGTTCCCCACATCAAATTCCTTCATAGCTTTTAGTCTCTCCTGGGCCCCTAGAGAAAAAGGAAGAATATTGTTGAGGTGTTCCTCGTATTTTCAATTCCATATTGGAGCTTGGGATCAAAACTGGGACTTCAAGAAGAGAATTGCAGTGGAATCTCAGGGTTCCCAGTAGGACAAAAACAAACAAACAAAAAACCAAGAAATACAAGAAATTTTATCTAGGCCGGGCGCTGTGGCTCATGCCTTAATCCCAGCACTTTGGGAGGCCGAGGCGGATGGATTACAAGGTCAGGAGTTCAAGACCAGACTGGCCAAGACGGTGAAACCCTGTCTCTACTAAAAGTACAAAAAGTTAGCCAGGCATGGCGGCAGGCATCTGTAATCCCAGCTACTCGGGAGGCTGAGGCAGGTGAATCGCTTGAACCCGGGAGGCAGAGGTTGCGGTGAGCCAAGATCATGCCATTGCACTCCAGCCTGGCAACAGAGCGTAACTCCGTCTCAAAAAAAAAAAAAAAAAAAAAAAAATTATCCCTTCAAGATGGACATAATACCTATCTTATAGGGTTGCAGCAAAGATTATGTGGCGTACCTTGGCAGGAGTGGGACTTAGCATTTGTTCTTGTTCCTCCTATTCCATTCCAAACCATCCTATTCCTTGTACAGATCTTGCAAGGACGCTGTGTGAAACAGCGTTGTTGCAACTCTGAACAAGAGGATGAACAATCACACAAGACATTGGCAGGAGTTCCTAGGACAGATAAGTCAATCAAACATAGCCTGTGGGCCTTACCCTCTATCTCTGAATTGGGTTCTTTTCATTCCAAGGGATAGAGACTCACTCAAGAAAGGTCTGTGGGCAAAAGGGAGGCAGTCTCGTGGAAATCTGAGAGGGGAAGGCAAAATAGGACCAAACTGCATGGTACTGGAGGTGGAGGGTAGACCAGCACCAGGATCTCTGCAACAGACTTTAAGGATTTTCCCTGAAGTGCTCCCCAAGAAATGTTACCCAAGTCCTTTAGGTCTCTTTCTCTGTTTCTGCCCACTTCTCTTCTTGCTAAACTCTTGATTTTCTCTGTCTTTTCTCTACCTCATGCTATTTGCTGACTTCTAGCTTGGTTCACTTAATTGCTAATCGTGGCCTCTCCAGCCTGTCTCAAACTTGCATCCTAAGCCTCTGTAAAGTGCCTGATTTTATCTGTATTTCCCAATTTACATTTCTAAGAGTAATATTGGGTTGGTCTAGGCTTCCTTATTAGGGCAGGTCTTTCCCTGGGCTACACAGTAAGCCTCTGTCTGCCCTGGGGTCAAGTGTTCACATAGTTTTCAATCACATAGAGGTGAAGGGAGGAGTTGGGGGTTTGGAGAAAGCCAGATGGCTGCATGGTGGAGTTCAGAGCATGGCTGCCTGGAGCTAGGGGCTGCAGAAGATAGTTTCCTGTAGAGTAGACGTGGCCATGCATGTGGCAGACATGCCGTGATTGCCATATCTAGTAGACACATTGAATTTTGAGTTTTTCATTGTCTGGTTTGTAGCCTTGTCCAAATGTGTAGTTTACCGTATGAGAAAGGGAGGATCAGAGAGGTAGAGTAACCTACCCAGGGTCACACAGTAAGTGGTAGAGCAGGAATTAGGATTTAATTTAGTGTTTTTTTCTAGTATGTTACATGTAAGTATATAAAAAATTGATGGATAGCCTACTCTGGGCCAGAACTATTCCAGGCACGGGAACAAACCACACCAAAATCCTTGTCCTTGTGGACCTAATATTCTAGCGAGGAAATAACAACAGTAAAAAAAAAAAAAAAAAAATCACTAAAAAAAACAAATTATATAATATGTTAGAAGGTGACAAGTGTTATGGAGAAAATAAGAATGGGGGAATTAGGGCTGGGTGCAGTGGCTCGCACCTGTAATCCCAGCACTTGGGGAGGCCAAAGCCGGTGGATCACTTGAGGCCAGGAGTTCGAAACCAGCCTGGCCAACATGATGAAACCCCATCTCTACTAAAAATACAAAAATTAGCCAGATGTGGTGGTGCACGTCTGTAATCCCAGCTACTTGGGAGGCTGAAGCAGGAGAATTGCTTGAACCCGGAAGACAGAGGTTGCAGTGAGCTGAGATGGCACCACTACACTCAAGCCTGGGCAACAGAGTGAGACTCCATCTCAAAAAAAAAAAAAAAAAAGAGAGAGATATACCTTGTCCCCAAACAGCCTGTTTTTGGCTGGGCACGGTGGCTCACACTTGTAATTTCAACACTTTGAGGCCAAGGCGGGCTGATCACCTGAGGTCAGGAGTTCGAGACCAGCCTGGCCAACATGGTGAAACCCCATCTCTACTAATAATACAAAAATTAGCTGGAGGTGGTGTTGCATACCTGTAATCCCAGCTACTCAGGAGGTTGAGGCAGGAGAATCGCTTGAACCCTGGAAGCAGAAGTTGCAGTGAGCTGAGATCACGCCATTGCACTCCAGCCTGGACCACAAGAGCGAAACTCTGTCTCCAAAAAAAAAAAGAAAAAAAGGGGGGAGGATTAGGAGTGCTGAGGGGAATTATAATTTAAAATAGGGAGTTCAGTGTAGGTCTCAATGTGATGGTGAGAGACTGTTCACCTCACCACGCTTTAAGCTTCCTGAGAATAGACTATGCGTCTTCCTTCTCCTCCTCCTGGCCCAGTGCCTTGGCTGTGGTGAGTATGAAATAACTGTTAGTTGAACTGAACACTACAGGAATGTTCTGAAGGTTGGGGAAGACAAGAAAAGGCTTTAAGTTTATATTGGTCTCCTCTTGTGTAACTTCCCTGCCCTTTGTGAAGGGCAGCATGCTTCATGTAGCCCTCCATATTGTTAGACTCATTGCAGAAATGTGCCTTTCCACACTCCTGAGATCATTAGACCTCATGAAATGCCTTGTAAGGGCTCTTAATATGAAGCTGTGGCCAGAAATTTAATTAACAGAGAAAACACAACCTAAGCATGCAAGACAGCACGACTCAAAGTCTCATAAAAGCCCATTTCCTTGGAGGCACTGGAGCAGTGGAGAGCCTCTTCATTAGTGGTGAGCTGATAAATGTTTAACAACTGGCTCTGTAGGGCAGGGAAGGGATCATGATTTGTAGGTTTGCCCATTCCTGTGGTGTAAATACTCTATGGCTGATTCAGGTTTAAAAAATGTAATAGGACTGAGCATTTCCCTTTTCTTTTTTTTTTTTTTTTTTGAGATGGAGTCTCACTCTGTTAACCTAGGCTGGACTGCAGTGGCGTGGTCTTGGCTCACTGCAACCTCTGCCTCCCAGGTTCAAGAAATTCTCCCACCTCAGCCTCCTGAGTAGGTGGGACTACAGGCACGTGCCACCACACCCAGCTAATTTTTTTTTGTATTTTTAGTAAAGACGGGGTTTCACTATGTTGGCCAGGCTGGTCTCAAACTCCTGACCTCGTGATCCATCTGCCTCAGCCTCCCAAAGTGCTGGGATTACAGGCGTGAGCCACCATGCCCGGCCGAGCATTTCTATCACAGAGATATAATAGATATAAATCACTTTAAGAGCATAGATGGTAGTAAAATACAGTATAATAATTAGGAAGTGATGAGTTTTGAGTGTTTATTATCATTGATTTTAATATTCACTTAAGTTTATATAATTTTAATCATGGTCACATTTATTTATTTATTCATATTTTTGGTTTTTTTGAGACAGGGTCTCGCTCTGTCACCCAGGCTGGAGTACAGTGGTGTGATCTCAGCTCACTGCAACCTCCGCCTCCCAGGTTCAAGCAATTCTCCTGCCTCAGCCTCCTGAGTCGCTGGGACTACAGGCACATACCACCACGCCTGGCTAATTTTTGCATTTTTAGTAGAGACGGGGTTTTGGCACGTTGGCCAGGCTGGTCTCGAACTCCTGACCTCAGGTGATCCACCCGCCTTGGCCTCCCAAAGTGTTGGGATTACAGGCGTGAGCCACCGCGCCCAGCCTTCCATGGCCACATTTAGTAACTGGTTTGCAAACATTCTGAAAAAGTAGCAATTGGCTCTTGTGGGCCATGATCCATGACAGCTCTAGCATACCACCACTCTGGTCCTCCTCAGTGTGCACCTGTTTCTTGGCAAGGACCAGCTCATATGAATCTTGAGCTTCAAATGCAAAGGCAGCTCCATTGCTTCCTTGTCACCTAACTGGTCACATCTCCCCATGGCTGCTATCTTGTGCCTCTGCCACACGGCTTCTCCATCTTCTATGGTAAGTGGGGTTTTGCAGAGTTTCTGGGAGAGTGTCCTTCTCCAGGCTGGAGCCCCCTGTGGTGGACACAGGCTTTTATTCTTCAGTGAGGATCTTGGTCTCACATCCTTGTACTCTCCCTTAAGGTGTTCTTGCTCACTTTACCGTGAGCCACCTTGGCATATTGGGCTGTCAAGTTCCATCTGGTCAGTGAGCATTTGTGGAGTCCGTACAGTGTGCTGACTCCTCCTGTTTGTGTTTCTGGTGCCAGGTCCTGTGCTCTGACATCCATTCTCTCATTTGGCCCTTAGAGCAGCCCTGCTGGATGAGTCTTATTTTTTCAACATTTCACGTGAGGAAACTGTGGCCCAGAGACGGGAAGTAACTTGCCCACAGTCCAGCAGTCATGTCTTAAGCAAAACATTGCCTTTGATATGTAACGTGCAGGGAAACATCTTTCACCCCTCAGCTGGCTGCTGCTGGTTGTGGACTCACTTTGCTCAACTAAGGGAGGATTTGGAGTTGTTTTCTGGGAAGGCTCCACCACAGAATTGCAGCAGAGGGACATTTAGATAGAAGGGCAGAACTGGAGTTGGAGCCAGTCATGAGCCCCAGGAGCATCTGTGATTCCGTGTTATTCCTAAAGAAGGCAGAGCTGGAACTGGGGTTGGGTCTGCTCCCTGGGAACATCTATGACCCTGTCTCATTGCCTTGCACCCCTCTGTGCCTGCTGGAGCCTGGTTCCTGGCTCCTAAAGGAGAAACGCCATTTGGAGGCAAGTGTGGTCCTTCCCATTGCAGGAGCTCCTTTTTTTTTTTTTTTTTAAGATGGTGTCTCACGCTGTCGCCCAGGCTGGAGTGCAATGGCGCGATCTCGGCTCACTGCAACCTCCGCCTCCCGGGTTCAAGCAATTCTCCTGCCTCAGTCTCCCGAGTAGCTGGGATTACAGGTGCCTGCCACCATGCCCAGCTATTATTTGTATTTTTAGTAGAGAACAGGTTTCGCCATGTTGGCCAGGCTGGTCTCGAACTTCTGACCTCAGGTGATCCGTCCATCTCCTCCCAAAGTGCTGGGATTAAAGCATAAGCCACCATGCCCGGCCTGCAGGAGCTCTTAACACCTGTGCGGAGAAGGCTGGGCACCTTGCGACTGAGCAGCAGATGTGTCTCATGAAGGGAAGCCAGCTTTAGCTGTGGAGCAAATGCTGAGTGCCAGGCTGGGGAAGGTGGGACAAGAAGAAGGTGAGAATTGAAGGATCATGGAAGCCTGTTTCTCAGAAGACCTGGATTCAAGTCTAAGTTCTCCTTACTTATTAGCTTTGTGGACTTGGGTAAATCATTAAGCCTCTGAGTTGTTTGCCCCTCTGTGGAATGAGGGAGATAAGGATAGTGGCTACTGTTTGTTAAGGGCTCTCTATGAATTAGGTGCTGCAGTCAGCGTGTACTAAACATTATGTACAAGGTAATTCCCATAAAAGACTGAACCCAGTGCCAGAAACACGGTCAATGTGCACTATATGGCAGCTGTTAATGTTTTGTTGATCCTCCTAACAATCCCCTGATTAATAATAACCACAGAAATAATAATAGTTGCTAGCATTTATGGAGCACTTTGTATGCATCCAGCCATTGTTTTGAGTGCTCTAGGTGTATTAACTTATTTAATTTTCCCAGCTATCCCATGAGGTTGGTTCTATTTTTAACCTCATTGACATGTGAGAAAATTGAAGCACAATTAAGTTAAATGCATTGCCCAAGACACGTGACTAGAAATTGACAAACAGCTAGAAAGCAGAAGAGGTGTTCTTATTGTTGCCCATTTCACAAGGACAGTAACTAAGGCACAGAGAGGCTGAGCAGCGTGCCCATGGCTGGGGTCGGCAGGACTCTCCTCTGGGTTTTTGGGCAGATGAAATGATATAATGGATGGGAAATGGCTTTGTGAACTGTCCTTCCGACTGTTTCAGCCGGCAGTGAGTAAGCTTTGCATGTTCTGTTTTTTCTAATCTAGTTGCATCAGCTGGTCTGAGAGCCAGGGGCCTTTAGGAGGACCTGCCTGGACTTAGCTTGTCATTGGATAGGTGCTTTGTGTGTAGGTCCTGGACTTACATCCCCTCGGGACAGCCTAGGAGCCGTGGCTTGTCTGACTTCAAAGCCGTTGCCAGCTGGGAGGCTTTGGGAGGAGCCAGCTGGCAGCTGGCCACCATCATGTGCAGCTGGGGTTACCAGCAGTCACTCTCCGGCCTTCCCCCAACCACACTCACTGTCTCCAGTGGCTGATTCCCAGACACACCCAAGACAGCAGTCAGCCAGGCAGGGGGAAGAGCAGCTCGAGGCTCCTAATGGAGTGGCGCTAATCAGGGAAAAAGGGAGCCTCTTTTTGCTCCCTTCCCCACTATGCTTCTGGCATAACCCCTCTCCCACAGGGCTCCTCAGGCATGACATCCTAGAAATTCCTGGGTGCATTCCTTCTTCCCAGTTACGTACTTTCCAAAATGGAGTAGGTAGGGCTACTGGGTCTTTGGGGAGGGGTCAGTGTTACATGCCTCTAGGGCTCTCTCCTCACTTCACTGGGAGATCCTCCAGCAGGGGTAGGATCTCCCCTCTCCTGAGCCAGCATCGGGCAGGGCCTGGGAAGGTGTTCAGTATTGTCACGTTTCTGGAGGGAAGGCCAATTCAGCTATCGGGTTGGCACTTGGGTGCTGTGTGTGGTGATGGTGATGGTGATGGTGGCAGCTTGTGTGTGTCTGGAGGAGGGAGGAAGTTTGGTGGGGGAAGGGAACCAGAGGCAGCTGAGGCTGAAAGGGCTGAGATGCGGGGGCTCTCGCCTGCTGGTGTGGCAGGAAGGGCTTGGGCTCCATACACACATAGATGTGGCCTTGACTCCTCACCTCATCACGCACTGTCTGAATGAGGTGTTCATCTCATGCGATTCTTCCCCTGGGCCTCTTTGTTTATGAAGGGAATGGGGGAAGGTAAAAACCAGACTTCAGTTTGGTTTCTGTCTGGCAGTAATGACTAAGCTCTCTTTTTTCCTGATTAGTCTTAGGCAAATGTCTGTACAAGAATTATTTTCTTACGAGGATCACACAGTCCAGTGTAACATGAAATTCCTCCAATTAAAATGACTTTGCCTCTCCATGTTGTGAAATATTAACCTTGACATTATTGTGCTAATAGTACATGCTCCTATTCTCAGATCCTATTTTCACTTCGAAGGTACTCTGAGTCCATCAAGATGGACTAAACTTTTCTATATATCAGCTCTATGATCCCCAGGTCTTCCCTGAGAGGAGCTGGGGGTAAGATGGAGAATCTCAGTTCATCTAGCCAAAAATATTTGTTCCTTTCACTTCCCTTAAAGAATTTTACAGTTCAGGAATCACTTCCACATGCTTTATGGGAAATCTTTTTTTTTTTTTTTTTTTTTGAGATGGAGTCTCGCTCTGTCGCCCAGGCTGGAGTGCAGTGGAGCGATCTCGGATCACTGCAAGCTCCGCCTCCCAGGTTCACCCCATTCTCCTGCCTCAGCCTCCCAAGTAGCTGGGACTACAGGCGCCCGCCACCACGCCCGGCTAATTTTTTGTATTTTTAGTAGAGATGGGGTTTCACCATGTTAGCCAGGGTGGTCTCGATCTCCTGACCTCCTGATCCGCCCGTCTTGGCCTCCCAAAGTGCTGGGATTACAGGCGTGAGCCACCGTGCCCGGCCTTTTTTTTTTTGAGATGGAGTCTCACTCTGTCGCCAGGCTGGAGTGCAGTGGCACGATCTCAGCTCACTGCAACCTCCGCCTCCCGGGTTCAAGCGATTCTCCTGCTTTAGCCTCCCGAGTAGCTGGGACTACAGGGGTGCGCCACCACGCCCAGCTAATTTTTGTATTTTTAGTAGAGACGGGGTTTCACCATGTTGGCCAGGATGGTCTCCATCTCTTGACCTCGTGATCCACCCCCCTCAGCCTCCAAAAGTGCTGGGATTACAGGCGTGAGCTGCCGCACCCCGCCGCTTTATGTGAAATCTTTAAAACACGTGTCTGAAGTAAGTATTCTCCCCCATCATTAAAGTGTAGATAGAGAATCTAAGACTCAGAGAAGGTAACTGAATTGCCTAGGGTCACATAACCATTGAGCAGCTCTGAGTTCCTCACGGTGCCTTCTGTGTCCTCTTCTCTCTGCTCAACTGCATCCATCTCTGGCTGCAGTGCCAGCTGCTTCAATCTGTTCTCTCTGTGGGAGGCCGCAAGCCACCAGGCATCAGCCAGGAGCAGAAGTGTTCAAAAATTGTCCAGCTGCAGCTGGGCAGAACTCAAGGAGTTGTGGTCCCCCACTGCAGCTGACAAGGATAGCGAGAAGCAAATACCCTGAAGGTTAGGAGCCCATCAGGGGAGGACTAGAGGGAATCAATTCATCAGCTGTGTCCAAATGCCCCACCTCCCAGCAGAAGGCCACACCATCTACCAGTGAAACCTGCTGCAATCTTGACCCTTGAATCCTCACCATGATCCGGTATCCTCTTGGCTCACCACCGCACCCCTTCCAATGAATCACTAGGTGGTTTCCAGTCTACCTCTGATATAGCTCCCTAATTTTTCCCCTCCTCTACATCTCCAGCCTGCACTCTAGAGCTGCAACCCCCTTCCCCAGTCCACCGCACTCTGCCTCCGGGATCTCTCCCCTCCTGCAACCTCAAGGGAATTCTTGCAGTGATTTTTAGAAAGAAAAAAGTGTAGGCTGGACATGATGGCTCACACCTGTAATCTCAGCACTTTGGGAGGCTGAGGCGGATGGGTCACTTGAGGTCAGGAGTTCGAGACCAGTCTGGCCAACGTGGTGAAACCCTCTCTATAATAAAAATACAAAATCAGTGGACAGTAGTGGTGCACCCCTGTAATCCCAGTCACCCAGGAGGCTGAGGCAGGAGAATTGCTTGAATCTGGGAGGTGGAGGCTGCTGTGAGCCAAGATTGTGCCACTGCACCCCTGCCTGGGCAACAGAGTGAGACTCCATCCCCACTACCAAAAAAAAAAAAAAAGAAAAAAGAAAAGAAAGGAAAAAAGTGCAAATCTGCTTGTATTATGCTTCAAAATCCTTTACCATCTATGCATTGCTTTCTAAATGCAGTGACAGTCCCTTAGCTGATGCACTCTACTTGTGGGCTGCCCTGTTATTATTTTTTTTTAGATGCAGTTTTGCTCTTATCGCCAAGGCTGGAGTGCAGTGGCACGATCTCCGCCCCCGGGGTTCAAGCGATTCTCCTGCCTCATCCTCCCAAGTAGCTGGGATTACAGGCATGTGCCATCACACCTGACTAATTTTTTGTATTTAGTAGAGATGTGGTTTCACCATGTTGGTCCGGCTTGTCTTGCACTCCTGACCTCAGGTGATCTGCCTCAGCCTCCCAAAGTGCTGGGATTACAGGCGTGTGCCACCGCGCCCAGTGTGCCCCATTACTCTATAGCTTTACTCCTTATGTGTATGTTCTACTCTATCAGTGCTAAATTTTCCAGTCTCAGTGGGTTGTGCCATCTCCCTTCTTGTCCTGGGTAACTCCTGTTCCTACTTCAGATGTCTCTTCCTCTGGAAAACCTTTCACTTGATACCCACTCCAAGACTGGCTTAGGGGTCCCTCTTCAGGGCCCTCTGTTTATCCCTGTGGTGGAACTAATACTGGGATTCCCTCGTCTCAGGTGTAATGAAGTAAAAACAAAAATGGATCAAACAGCTGGCACCGTGAGTTTGCTACTGGAAGATACTTTGGTAGAAATACCTAGAGAATCTGCCTGGGTTGAATGTGAGGTTCAGAGAGCAGGAAACAAAGCAGCAAAAGATGCTGAGCAAACTGCTCTGAGTGAGACAAGAAGAGAAAGATGCGAGGCATAGGAGAAGCTGGGGTGATAGTGTAAAGGACCCTGTGGAATGAAGGGCCAGTGGAGACTCCTCTGGGGTGGGTTAGCCAGAAGACATTTTGAATAGATAGGCCGCATGTTTAGTGTCAAGCTCGTTTGTTTTAAGTGAGGCAAACCACTCTGACCTCCTCTCCCCTAGATCTCTCAATCTTCAGTAAAGCCTGAAATATTCACGAATCATTATAGGAGTGGGTTTATGTGTTTGTGCCTGTGGAGAGGGGAAGTTTGTGGAAGTGTTATAAGAACAACAGGTTCGTACGCCCACTGTGCAGTAACAGACCAATTACACTGAGACAGCAGGGTTTGCAGCACAGAAAGAGCTCAATGATTGCAGAGCTCTGAGGGAAGGATGGGAGGAGACCCTCAAATCTACATCCCCAAGGAATTCTGGGCTGGGGTTTTTGAGGGTCATGGAGGGTAAGCAGGTTAAAAATAGACTGGGCATGGTGGCTTACGCCTGTAATCTCAGCACTTTGGGAGGCCAAGGTGGGCAGATCACTTGAGGTCAGGAGTTCAAGACCAGCCTGGCCAACATGGTGAAACCCTGTCTCCACTAAAAATACAAAAACTAGCTAAGTGTGGTGGCACACACCTGTAATCCCAGCTGCTCCAGAGGCTGAGGCAGGAGAAACCTCTGAACCCAGGAGGCAGAGGTTGCAGTAAGCTGAGACTGCGCCACTGCACTCCAGCCCGGGAAAGAGAGTGAGACTCCATCTCAAAAAAAAAAAGAAAAAAAGAAAAAAAGAAATTGGGGTAATCGATTGGTCAGGGCAAGGGGGATGAATTCATTACGATGTAAAAACTGCACTCTTTAGTCTGGCGTGGTGGCTCACACCTGTAATCCCAGCACTTTGGGAGGCTGAGGCAGATGGATCACTTGAGGTCAGGAGTTCAAGACCAGCCTGGCCAACATGGTGAAACCTTGTCTCTACCAAAAATATAAAAAATTAACTGGGCATGGTGCTGCATGTCTGTAATCCCAGCTACTCAGGAGGCTGAGGCAGGAGAATTGCTTGAATCCGGGAGGCAGAGGTTGCAGTGAGCCGAGATCATGCCACTGCACTCCAGCCTGGGCAACAGAGCGAAACTCCATCCCAAAAAGAAAAAAAAAAAAAAAAGAAAGAAAGAAAGAAAAAGAAACTGCATTCTTTGATAAATCAGCTTCCCATGAGATCCTTCAGATCAGCTGATACTAGTAGTTCCACTGGTATCCAGGACCTGAAAGGGTATCTCAAAGGGAAAATTTAATGTTTCATAATGTTGAACTTGTTTTAGTTGTTATACTCCTTTCCTTGCGGAAAGAAGTAAGTATAACATCTTTCCTTGTTATAGTTGCTATACTTATTTCTTTCCTCATATTTTAATTTTACATTTAAGTACTTATGTAGTTAATGTAGCTTAGTTATTTAAAGCAAGACACTGAAAATTTCTTGCTCTGTAGACAGAGCAGTTAAGGGAAATTATAATCTTAGGAACTGCTTGGATTTACTTGATTCACACACAATAGGCCACAAACAACAATGTGGAAGTGGGCCAGAGAGCAAGCTACCTAATGATTAATGTTGAATGTGCTGCAAGCTTGGTTTATTTTTATTTCCCCATCTCTCCCTTCTTACGTTATTAATTTTATAAAGTTTATAAGGACAGTTTAGTCCCCCCTGGGCTTGATCATACCTCAGTCCTGAGGTGAGAACTAATATGGTGGGAATTAGCTGAAGATCACTCTAGCTTCTTCCTGCTAGCAAGGGGCACAGACCATAGTCAGGATTAGAGGAATGAAATTGCCTGGCAGTAACCTGTAAGTATTCATGAGTGCCTGGTTGGGGATTTTGGGGGTGAAGCATGAACATATTAGTGCTCCTGTCCACTGTCTTAGCATGGGGCACATTTAATTGCTAACCAGACTGGCCAGGCATGGTGGCTTATGCCTGTAATCTCAGCACTTTGAGAGGCTGAGGCAGGTGGATTGCCTGAGGCCAGGAGTTTGAAAACAGCCTGGCCAACATCGCAAAATCCTGTCTATACTCAAATAACAAATAAATAAAAACTAGCCAGGCATGGTTATGGGCGCCTGTAATCCCAGCTACTTGGGAGGCTGAGGCTGGAGAATCGCTTGAACCTGGAAGGTGGAGGCTGCAGTGAGCTGAGATCATGCCATTGCACTGTAGCCTGGGCAAAAAGAGCGAAACTCCGTTTCAAAATGAAATAAATAATTGCTAACCAGACTATAAAATAAATTATAAGTGCTATTGTCAAAATTGTGAGTCCAAATTTCAAAAAAGTCCTTGTAAAATAGACTGAAAACATTGGGGGTATCCATGAGATCTTATTGTCACAAAGAGTCTGTTCTGTCAGTTTTATGATCTTCATTTTAACATTAATGTTGGTCAGTTGTGTCTAGACCACAAAAAGGAGGCGTATAATGGGGAATGTCTGACCTCTCATCCTGTCACGGTCAGGATCTCAGTTTTAAGGGTTTTGTGTATGTGGGGGTCCCCTTGGCCACAAGGGGCTCCATTCAGTCAGGGAGTGGGGCTTAGGATTTTGTGTTTTAGTTTATATTACCTCCTTTTGGGTCGAAATTTGCCAGAGACAGTATCTATGGCTACAGTTTTATTTTGTTTTATATCATTGCTGGGGCTACCTGCCCCAGGTCCATCCAGTCCATTGGTGGGACCCCTATGGCCGAGGGACTGAGAGCCAAAGGCTTATAGCCAATTAAACATTCTAGGCCAGATGGGCATGGAAGTGGGAAGGCACTAATTAATCCTTAAAAACCTTTTGAACTGGCCAGGTGCAGTGGCTCATGCCTGTAATCCCAGCACTTTGGGAGGCCGAGGGGGACGGATCACCTGAGAGCAGGAGTTTGAGACCAGTCTGACCAACAAGGAGAAACCCTGTCTCTACTTAAAATACAAAATTAGCAGGGTGTGGTGGCACATGCCTATAATCCCAGCTACTTGGGAGGCTGAGGCAGGAGAATCGCTTGAACCCAGGAGGTGGAGGTTTTGGTGAGCCGAGATGGTGCCATTGCACTCTAGCTTGAGCAACAAGAGTGAAACTCCGTCTCCAAAAAACCAAAACCAAACCAAAACAAAACAAAAAACCTTTTGAGCAATATAAGAACGAAAAACCAAAAGCCAAAAAGTAAGGTTACAGAACGGACTTATCTATAAGTTGCATATGTTGAGCCATTAGCTCTTTAGGCATCTGTGTGCCCATCCTTGATTTGGAGGGTCTGAACTAATTTTATCCCTCAAAACCAGCCCTTATAATCTCACATGCCCACCTTTTCTGTGATAGTCCCTGGGCCTAAAGGGATTGAACAGTTTTAATTTCCGGCCCTGTGTCTCAGAAAGGATTCATTTTGACTGTCAACTTCTCCTGGGTCTGAAGACAAGTCTTTGGTTAACTTAAGTTTGGTATCAGATACTGGTGTCCACGTTCAAGATTTAGTAGGTGTCCAGTGCCTTTTTCAGATGAGATATGTGTACCCAGGAGTCAAAACCCTATAACTCAGCACAAAGATTAGGTAACAGCACCTGATAAGACTCTTTCAAGGGGGCCAAAGAAAGGCCTTTAACCGATGTCTTTTCCAGTATATGTGATTATTAGGCTGAAGGTGGTGACACTGGAGTGCCTTTAGTTTGACTGAAAGCTGTAAAAAGATTCTACAACCTTGTGGGGTTTATTTGTTTATTTATTGAGACAGAGTCTCTCTCCATCACCCAGGCTGGAGTGCAGTGGCACGATCTTGGCTCACTGCAACCTCTGCCTCCCGGGTTCAAGCTATTCTCCTGCCTCAGCATCCTGAGTAGCCGGGATTACAGGTGCATGCCAGCACACCCGGCTAATTTTTGTATTTTTAGTAGAGATGGGGTTTCACCATATCGGCCAGGCTGGTCTCTTGGCCAGGCTCGTCTCAAACTCCTGACCTCGTGATCTGCCCGCCTCGACCTCCCAGAAGTGCTGGGATTACAGGCATGAGTCACTGTGCCCGGCTAGGGATTAGTTTTATAGCTTTGATAAGCCCCAGCAATAAGACTTCATTTAGAATTGGATTTTGAGAACATTTATCAAATATATTAAATGGCTTTAAATGTTTGGTCAAAACAGAATCACAGGTCATTGTAAAATAATGGTTATTCACTTAACCAAAGACTTTGAAGGCAATATAGAAAGTTACATGGATGCTGGCTGGGCACGGTGGCTCACACCTGTAATCCCAGCACTTTGGGAGGCCGAGGTGGGCGGATCACCTAGGTCAGGAGTTTGAGATCACCCTGGCCAACATGGAGAAACCCCGTCGCTACTAAAAATACAAAAATTAGCCAGGCATGGTGGCACGTGCCTGTAATCCCAGCTACAGGAGAGGCTGAGGCAGGAGAATCACTTGAACCTGGGAGGCTGAGGTTGCAATGAGCCGAGACTGCACCATTGCACTACAGCCTGGGCAACAGAGCAAGACTGCGTCTCAAAAAGAAAAGAAAAGAAAAGAAAAGAAAGTTACATGAATGTAAAACTTTTCTTCTTAAGCTCAGTTTTCCGAAGTTGTCAAAACCCTAATAAAGACAACAAAGGAATTATCTTAATAAAATGTAAAATCTTTGTTTCTTAGGCCAGTCACCAACAGGCAAAGAAAAACCTTCTGCAGTGTCATTGCTCCTCCTTATGGGGGCCCATTTAGATAACCCGAAAGTCAATCCTGATGAAGAGGGCGTTAGAATTGTTTAGACATAGAAAGAGTGTGTTCAGGGTCATGAGTGAACATTATATTATGCACTTATCATATAATATCTCCATGACTCTTAGTAACAGCATGATAAGTTTCCTGGTTACATGGAACAATTCAGACATATCAAGGACAGCCAAGAGTAGAGAATCAAGTTACACTGGAGGAAGACATTGCTTTTCTAGACTTTCAAGATAAACATTTTAGCATCAGGTTACAACAGCAATTAGAACCAGAGAAAAAAAGTTTTTGGAGCTCACAAAGAAGTTGAAGGAGAGAGTTATCATCTCATGCCTTCTCAAAGGGAGAAAAAGCTGAAAGCGGTGAGCCTCAGCAGAAGTTGAAATCGTGAGATAGAAATCTGAGAAGTTTTCAAAAAGAAACAGGTTATAGAATTAAAAATTAAAACCTTCGAAATTTTATTAAGAGCAAAGCAATGCCTTAAGAAAAACTTGTTTTAATATAGGATATCAAACTATCTATCTATCTATATATATATATATATATATATATATATATATATATATATATATATATTTAGTGAGACGGAGTCTTGCTATGTCGCACAGGCTGGAGTGCAGTGGCATGATCTCGGCTCACTGCAACCTCCACCTTCTGGGTTCAAGCAATTCTCGTGCCTCAGCCTCCCAAGGAGCTGGACCTACAGGCACATGCCACGACAACCAGCTAATATTTTTGTATTTTTAGTAGAGACAGGGTTCACCGTGTTGGCCAGGTTCATTTCGAACTGCTGGCCTTGAGTGATCCATCTGTCTTAGCCTCCCAAAGTGCTAGGATTACAGGCGTCAGCCACTGTGCCTGGCCAGGGGACCAAAATTATAAAGGCTATTATAAATAATTTTCTTTTCATTATACCCAGCTTAATCTTGTAGAAAATTCTTTTTTTTTTTTTTGAGACAGAGTCTCACTCTGTCACCTAGGCTGGAGTGCCGTGGCACGATCTTGGCTCACTGCAATCTCCGCCTCCTTGGTTCAAGTGATTCTCGTGCCTCAGCCTCCCCAGTAGCTGGGATTACAGATGTGGGCCACCACGCCTGGCTAATTTTTTGTATTTTTAGTAGAGACAGGGTTTCACCATGTTGGCCAGGCTGGTCTCGAACTCCCGACTTCAGGTGATCCCCCCTTTTTTTCAGTTTTAAATGAGTTTTCAATGTTTACATTTTAGGTAGCACTGGCTGAATTGTATAAGAAAAACAAAATCTCCAAGTAGTTTTGAATTAGTAATACCATAAACAGTGAGTCTCATCTCAATACCAGTAGCTTAATAACAACAGATTCAAAGCAGTCAGAAAAGAAAAGATAGCTTTAAAAGACTCTATATTTAATGTACATTTTAACTAACTCCATTTAACTCAGTTGTGAGCTCTGAATTTTCCTTGCTGTTATTTGCTCATCAGTTTAAAAATGTGCACAAGAATGAGTCATAATATGTAACCAGCTGGAGTTCTAGAAAACCTGGCATGCCTTTGACCTTTCCCATAGTTTTTCACAGGACTCCTGCCTTTAATGGGAAAGTTACCCATTGCACTGACCTGATGAGGATGTATCTTGTCTTCCCAACTCGGCAGGATGCAGCCCAATGGACTGCTTGGAATTAACATGTTGAAATCAATGTTTCCCATTCCAGCCAAGGCAATGTACAATCAACAAAACACAGACACTAGTCACATCACTCAGTGCCTAAGTTTGACCCGGCAAGATTCAAACTTGCGTCTGTTGGCCTCCAGAGCCCTTGCTCTACTCAAAATCGGGAGAAATGAGTAGATCTTGCTGTGGTGGTCTCTGGGCAAAATGGGGAAGTGGATGGTCACCTGAGTTAGGTCACCTGCTAGAAATTCCTTCTGAAATCCTTTTCATAAACATAACATACATAACTAGACAAAGACAAACAAAAGGCCCTCCAAAACCAAGTTCCAACTTTCAGAAATCAAGAGTATCTCTCCCAAGCAGTGCCCTTTATTCTCCTTCCAATTTAGGGTAAATCCCCTCAAAGAAGGCCCTTCCTGTTGCCAGGGAGGGTCAACGAAACCTCAGAAAGGTCAAAAGACCTCTGAGGAGGCCAGCAAACTAGGAAAGGGGGAAGAGGTGCTGGCTGCACAGAGAAAACTTACCAAAGATGTCTTTCAAAACCAGAAACTATTTCTTTGCTGCAAGCTATTTATGCACTGAAGGTCACCACTGTCCCATTGACAAGCAAGGCACTGGAGACAGCCCCCAGTTCAATGGAACCAAGCAACTGCTTGGACTTGTCTCCAGGTCTGTCCCAAGGACAAAGGGGCACTGAGCCATGGGCAGATGCTCACAAGGGGCTCTAGGTTAGGCTCACCAAAATCATTTATGGGACCAACAGATTCATATGCCCACTGTGCAGTAACAGACCAATTATACTGAGACAGCAGGGTTTGCAGCACAGAAAGAGTTCAATGATTGCAGGGATCTGAGTGAGGAGATGGGAGGAGGCCCTCAAATCCATACCCCCAAGGAGTTCTGGGCTGGGATTTTTTTTTTGTTTTGAGACAGAGTCTCACTCTGTAACCGAAGCTGGAGTGCGGTGGCGCAATCTAGGCTCACTGCAGCCTCTGCCTCCCAGGTTCAAGTGATTCTCCTGCCTTAGCCTCTGGAGTAGCTGGGATTACAGGTGCCTGCTATGACTCCTGGCTAATTTTCAAATTTTTAGTAGACACAGCATTTCACCATGTTGGCCAAGCTGGTCTTGAACTCCTGACCTCAAATGATCTGCTCGCCTCGGTCTCTCAAAGTACTGGGATTACAGGCGTGAGCCACTGAGCCCAGCCTGGGCTGGGATTTTTAGGGGGATTGTGGTGAGCAAGGGACTTAAAAATTGGGGTAATTGATTGGTCAGGGCAAGGGTGATGAAATCATCACAATGTGGAAATCACCTTCTTTGGTGAGTCAGCTGCTCGTGGTGTTCCTCTGCTCAGCTGAGTCAGTGGGGTCCTTCAGAGCAACTGATATCAGTAGTTCCACTGTTATACAGGACCTGAAAGAATATCTCAAAGGGAAAACTTAATGTTTCATTATGTTCAAGTTGTTATCTACAGAGCAGTTAACAGAACTATCATCTTGTAACAGAGTCTTACTTGATTCTAGGACAGTAGGCAACAAACAATTATTAAATATGGTGAAGCAGGTCGGAGAGCAAGCTACCTAATGATTAATGCTGAACATGCAGCAAGCTTGGTTTATTTTAGTTTCTCCTTCTCCCTTCTTCTCTGATTAATTTTATAATATTCAGAAGGGTTCCTGTACACCTAGGTCAACTTGAAGACCGCAGGTGTGTGGAAGTAAGACATAGATCCAGGATCAACGTGGAGACCTCAGGTGTGTGGAAGTAAGACATAGATCGGAAAGTGACCCTTGGAATGTTGTGAGCTCCTGGAAAGCCATGGAGTCTCAGCAGGGGCCTTTGAACTGCCACAGGGCATCGACTGGGGATTTTGACCCAACCTAACTAGAGGAGCATCAGTCTTTTCCTGACGTATAAATTATGTCAGAAATTAAAGCAAACCTCCAAGGGGTACTGTAGAAGTGAGAATAAGACACATTTTTTGTATTTTAATAATTTAGCTGCTAGGGCGGGGATTGGTGTATGTGTGTGGTCAGGAGGGGAAGCTAGATGCTCTTCCCTGAGATACTCATGGCTCCTTCCTCATGTTCATCATTCACGTCTCTGTGCAAACGTTCCCCTCTTTAGCCCGGCCTTCCGTGACCAGCCGAGCTATGACAACAACCCTCATCACTCTTCTTTAGTTCCTTCTAGCCTAGGAAATTCTTTTCCTATTTCAGTGGATGTAAAATTATTTTGAGGTCAATGAATTTAGGGACAGTCTCAATCTTGAATTCCAGCCCTGTTTTCATTCACTCATTCGAAAAGTCTTTACTATTGACCTACTATGCACCAGGCTAGGCACTCAGGATATATCTATGAACAAAACCAGCAATCATCACTGCTTCCGTGGATCCCGTATATCCAGTGTGGATCCAGTGTAGATCCAGTGTGGGTCCTGTGCATTAAGGCAGCATTAAGACAAAAACAATCTTAATTCTAATCATCCTAGCCCCACCCATCTGCAAAGGAAGCTCTTACTCTCAGAACTCAAAGCACTCTCTAGGGCTTCTTACGTAGGTTGCTTCCTGGTAACGGGTGCATATCCAGCTGCTGATACAATGAAGTATTAAAAATATTGTTGGCCGCGCATGGTGGCTCAAGCCTGTAATCCTAGCACTGTGGGAGGCCAAGGTTGGCGTATCACCTGAGGTCGGGAGTTTGAGACCAGCCTGACCAACATGGAGAAACCCCATCTCTACTAAAAATACAAAAAATTAGCTGGGTGTGGTGGCACATGCCTGTAATCCCAGCTACTCAGGAGTCAGGCAGGAGAATCGCTTGAACCCAGGAGGTGGAGGTTGTGGTGAGCTGAGATCGCGCCACTGCATTCCAGCCTGGGCAACAAGAGTGAAACTCTGTCTCAAAAAAAAAAAAAAAAATTATTGTCGACACAACCATTTCCCTAAAATGTTAAGGTAATGGATTTTGTGTTTGCATAAAAGGAATAGTTTGAGATGTCAAATTTCAAAAGCCTCTATCTTAACACCAGAATAGTCAATGAAAGGAGGCCAGATCAAATCCAAGTTGTTTCCCATTTGGTTATCACTCCAACCTTCAGCCTTCCGCCAGACAGCAAGAGTTCAGTGAGCACTGAAATTAGACCCGTGCCCCTAAGACACTCGCTATCTAGAGAGGGAACATCCATGGAATCAAGCCAGAAGTACACAGCAAGATGGGTTACTGGAGACCTAGATGCAAAATGCTGTAAGTACACGGGAAGAAGGAACCTCAAACTCTCTTTAGAGGAATTTTGTAAGCTTCCAAGAGGAGATGACTCTCAAGCTGGCCGTCAATGAGGGAAGGATTTCACCAGGTAGAGATGGGGCAGGCACTCTTAGCAAAAGGAACAGAAGAAAAACCATGTAAACAAAAAATGTCATCATGGATTCTGTGAAGTTCACTGTGACTAGGGTGTGTGCTCTCTACACAAGGGTGTATAAAGGATGTGGCAGGAGATGAAGCTGGAAAGGTGAGCACCGTCAGGTAATAAAAGACTTTGCATCTTATCCTGTGAGCAATGGGACAGAATTGGGACAGCAATGGGACCCATCAAACCCCTAAGAAGCGGAGTGACACAATCAGGCTTGTGCTTCACAAACATCATTCATAGAACAACCCGAGGAATCAAATTAGAGGTGGGAAGCCAGTTAGGTGACTGTTTCAGCAGTCCAGGTGAGAACAGTTAAGGACCTAAACCAGGGCAGAGGGGATGGAAAGAGGGATCAAACACTAGAGAGGGTTCAAGAGTAAATTGGTAGGACTTATGTGGAAGGGAAGAGAAGAAAAGACCAGGTGGCAATGAAGTTTCTTGCTTGGGTAACTTGTTAAATGGTGGAGCTCCCAAATGACACCTCCCTCTCTGTTACTTCTTCCTCACAACATCAGGATGATGATCAAATTAATTTTATTCTTTAAAAGACTAGACATCTTTCATTTAAATACTTCACCAAGTTTGGAGAATTCTCTACCTTTCAGGCCCACGCCAACCCAAAGGAAAGGCCAGAAACCTGCCTTCCCAGCTTCCTTTGCAGCTGGGATGAACACACAGGAATCCAATTCCATTAGTCAGACATACTAGAATTGTTTTGGATGCTAGAGACATGAAGAAGAGGTGCCATGAAATCCACCCTGGCGATGGTGTTCACAGATGCATGCGGTTCCTGGAGATGTCAGAGGTGTTAGAGATGATCTCCAGACCCCATAACCATGAGGTGAGCTGGCTGTCTTTGCCCAGCCATGCAACAATTATGAGGCATGGGGCAACTGGGACCCCTGGGGCAACTCTGTGGTGTGATTTGGAAGGTATGACTAGCTTAGATGATTGATCACCGGGAGAAGAGGCTGCCAGGTTGGTAATAGACAGGGTCTGCCACATAGGCTGATAGCAGCTGTGAAGAGAACATAGGAGTTCTCTGGTCTGGGCTGATTTATTTATTTTCTCAAGAAACAATTATTTTCTTTTCTTTGAGACAGAGTTTTGCTTTTGTTGCCCAGGCTGGAGTGCAATGGTGCGGTCTCGGCTCACTGAAACCTCTGTCTCCCAGGTTCAAGCAATTTGCCTGCCTCAGCCTCCCAAGTAGCTGGGATTACAGGCATCTCCCACCATGTCCTGCTAATTTTTTTTTTTTTTTTTTTTTTTTTTTTTTTTTTTTGAGACAGTCTAGCTCCCTCACCCAGGCTGGAGTGCAGTGGCATGATCCTGGCTCACTGCAACCTCTGCCTCCCAGGTTCAAGCGATTCTCCTGCCTCAGCCTCCCAAGTAGCTGGGATTACAGGTGCCCGTCACCATGCCCAGCTAATTTTTGTATTTTTAGTAGAGATGGGGTTTCACTGTGTTGGCCATGGTGTTCTCGAACTCTTGACCTCGTGGTGTGCCCGCCTTGATCTCCTGAAGTGCTGGGATTACAAGCGTGAGCCACCGTGCCAAGCCCTAATTTTTGTATTTTTAGTAGAGACAGGGCTTTACCATGTTAGCCAGGCTGGTCTCAAATGCCTGACCTCAGGTGATCTGCCCGCCTTGGCCTCCCAAAGTGCTGGGATTACAGGCATGAGCCACCATGCCTGGCCCAATTTTTAAATTACAGCTGAGTGCTGTATGATGTTTGGACCTGGCCTTTGTTTTCTGTGTATTTCTGGCAAGCCACTTAACTTCTCTGGGCCTTGACCTCCTTATCTCCAAAATGAGATCGCCAAAATGGATAATTCTAAGGTCTTTCCTCATATTCCACTCATTTTTCTCCTCTCTCTTTTGTAACACTTTTATGTTTAGAGCTCCAATTTTTTGTTGTCAAAGACCTTGTGGATATGGCTAGTGTTGCCAATGGGCTTAGCTATGTCCCCTTACCACCTACTCATGGCTTATGAGTGGTGAGTGAGTGGACAGCAGAAGCCATGGGATAAGCATGCTGTGTCTTCCAGGGCCATCAGTTTTACTGAAAGATTTGGGAGAGCCGGGCGTGGTGGCTCACACCTGTAATCCCAGCACTTTGGGAGGCCTAGGTGGGCGGCTCATGAGGTCAAGAGATCGAAGCCATCCTGGCCAACGTGGTGAAACCCCATCTCTACTAAAAATATAAAAATTAGCCAGACATGGTGGCACATGCCTGTAGTCCCAGCTACTCAGGAGGCTGAGGCAGGAGAATCGCTTGAAACTGGGAGTTGGAGGTTGCAGTGAGCCGAGATCACCCCCCTGCATTCCAGCCTGGGCAATAGAGTGAGACTACGTCTCAAAACAAAAACAAAACAAAAAAAGATTTGGGAGAAAAGCATTGGAAAATTTTGTTTTCTATTACATAATGCGGGCATATAATGGGATACAGTGTAAAATTCTCAGGCTTGATAATAGCTACATTCCTTTGGGGGATGTGTGTTTGTTCTTTGTGACTGGAAATCCTTTGATAGAAAATTGTGTGTAGCAATGATAATTAATATTTTCTGAATTTGACAAGTGATTTAGGTCAATTCAATATCACTTGGGCTTTCTAGCTATATTAGGTTTCTCAGCCTCAGCACTAGTGACTTTCTGGGCCAGATAACTCCTGGTTGTGGGGGCTATCCTGTGTGTTGTAAGAGGTTTAGCAACATCCTTGGCCTCTACCCACTAGCTGCAAGTAGCAATTCCCTAAGTGTGACAACCAGAAGTGTCTCCAGACATTGCCAAATGCGTACTGGGGGACAAAATCAGCCCCAGTTGAGAATCAATGATGTAGATGGATACGAATTCCTACTCTGCCCCTTACTTATGATTAATAGTTTTGTGACCTTGGACAAAGTATGCAATACCAGTAAAGTTCATCTTCCTTATCTGCCAAATGGGATCAGCTCATAAGATTGTTGTCTGATCTAAAAGAGGTCTCGGGCGTTATGATTTTAGCATAATGTCTAGTTTGTCATAGGTCCTCCATGAATCTTAATTCTTCTTCTTCTCTTCAGATTTCTGGGGCTGTATAACTTTCTAGTTGAAACAGATCTTAAAAGTTATCTTACCAGAACTCTTCATTTTATAAATTAAGAGACTGAGGTCCATAGAGATAATTTGTCTTCTCAACCCTAAGTCTGTCTTTTACTCAAGTAGTGAAAAAGAGACATATCGAAATGGAATTGTACAGAAGTGAACGAGTTCAAGGGGTCTCTCCTGTCAAGGTTGATTTGCAAGACTCTTGTCCCTGCAGATTTCCTCATGATGTATTACCTCTGAGATAATTCCTGAAGCACTAAATCCCCATGTGACTCAGAGTGAGTTCAGATGTGTGGTTTCAGGGACCATCAATTGTCATGTTGGAAACACTTGTCCTGTGGACTTTGGATGTTGGGGAATGGTAAATATTGAGACAAAATATATGGAATATGAGAGTTAATGTTCTAAGCAAGTCAACCTTTGAAAAAAATTTAGACTCACCAAGAACAGATAAAAGCGTTCAAGAGACAGAACAAAAGAAAGAATCAGAAAGATTATTGGGTAGGTCCAATGTTGTTGTTTCTTCTCTGTCAAGAATAAGGATATTCTGACTAAAAAGACTGGCACAAACTAATTAAAGAGATGAAATCTTCTCAGAGGGGAGAAATGAGGTAACAGCTGTCTGGACTTTGTCTCTTGGCCTAAACAAATCACTCTTCAAGCTATCACTATGTTTGCTAGTAAGATCACAGGATTGCTGCTGATAATCTCAAGGACTGATGAAAAATAGGAATCATACTGGAGTACTAAGGATGGACAAATGCCTTGATTTTTAGGAAATACAATTAATTTTTCCCTCCCTGTTTCACCCACTATGGATTCATGAGCTTGGCACCAGTCCTAGGCAAAATTCCATAAGAGATTATTCTACTAATGGCTTATGAGTGCTTACAAATTAAGCAGCAATCCCTCTAAGCCAGTAGCATTTCAGTAAAACAGGTCATGCTAGAGTAATCTAATTTCCTTTTTTGATTAAGGCCATTAGACTGGTTGAGCAGATATGTGGAGTGAGCACAGAATATCTGGATGACAGCCAGACATGTCTCATGTGACATTATTGAATGCAAAATGTGGAAAGAGAGGCTGGATACAGGTATCATGTGGTGGCTTCATAATTATACCCAGTGGATACCAATTAATGAATGGAAAGTGATATGGAAGCAAGCCCCTTGTGGCTGCTGCAGGGCATTAGTCTTGGGCCTGTGCCTGTCCGTACTTTATTTTTATTAGCATATACCAGGTCAAGCAATGGATGTGCCATATCCTTTGCTCTTTGGGGAGCTCCTTGGTCCACAGACTTTTAGGAAGAGATAGATATAGTTAGCCATAGTTTGTGCCAGGTGACCCAAAATTCCAGGGTACGGCTTATTAGACACATTGCCTCAGGGATATATTTCATGGTATTGAAAGAACTTGTAGATCTGGCCCCTGGCTACCTCTCTAGTCTCATTTTTTTCTGTCCCCTTCCCCATGCTTCTAGCATTTCGTCATACCAACTCACAGTACTGTGCATACACCATGTCGTTTTATGCCCCCTTCATTTTGCCTTTTCTTGTCTCTGACTGGAATGCCTTCCTTTCTCTTCTACCTACTTCTTGATCTGTCTGACAAGCTCCTACTCATCATTCAAGACTCAACAAAAGACTGTGTGTGGTGGCCCACACCTGTAATTCTAGCACTTTGGCAGGACGAGGCAAGAGGATCACTTGAGCCAAGAGTTCAAGATCAGCTTCGGCAACACAATGAGACCTCGTTGCTACAAAAAAATAAAATTAACCAGGCATGGTGGTGCCTACTTGTCTCAGCTACTGGGAGGGCTGAGGTGGGAGGATCGCTTGAGTCCGGGAGGTGGAGGTTGCAGTGAGCCGAGATCATACTGCTGTACCCTAGCCTGGGCCACAGAGTGAAACCCTATCTCAAAAAAAAAAAAAAAAAAAGTCCACAAAAAAAACTAGCCAGGGCATGGTGACATGTACCTGTAGTCCCAGTGACTCAGGAGGCTGAGGTGGGAGGGTTGCTTGAGGCTAGGAGGTTGAGGCTGCAGTAAGCCATAATTGTACCACTGCCCTTTGGCCTGGGCAACAGAACAAGACACTGTATCAAAAAAAAAAAAAGAAAAAAAAAAGGCTCAGCTATAGCTTCATGTCCACTGTCAAGTCTTTCTTCTCCTTCATACTTTTTCCCTACACCATTTCTAATGCATTATTCCCCATCCGAATTTTGATGCTTGTACCTACCACTGTTTTAGTAATTATCACAGTGTATTAATAACCTGTTTACTTGTCTGTCTCTCCTGCATTCTGTTCTCCACCCACACTTCCCTTCCCATATAAACACTTTCAGCTCATTGAGGACAGGGACTGGATCCCACCCAGTGCTTGGCACTTAGCGGAGACATTCAGTTAAAGAATAAATGAATAAAAATGAATGAATGAATACCTTGTATAAAAACCCATTATTCTGGCTCTTTGTTAATGAGTCTCAGCCTGCTGAGAATCACAATTACATTTCCACGTAGCCTAATCCAGCTTCCTAAAGGATTTCTTAAAAAAAAAAAAAAATACTCAACAGGAGTCCTTTTCCCTCTAGTCACCTGCCATCTCAATAAGGGCTTATAAATGCACTGGAACAGCAACAGGACTCTCATACACAAACCTCAGGACCATAACCTTGCAGAGCCCCCCAGGGATGCCAGTGCCTTGATTCACTGGGAAGTACCCAGCAAAAATCCAATTTTTCAAGGCTACCCTTCTGTAGCCTCCAAGAAGGCACATCCAAGCTTACTAGATAGCAAGAAGCATTTTTAGATCTCTTGTCTGCACTGTTGTTTTTTTGTTTGTTTGTTTGTTTTTTTGAGATAGACTCTCGCTCTGTCACCCAGGCTGGAGTGCAGTGGCATGATCTCGGCTCACTGCAACCTCCGCCTTCCGGGTTCAAGCAATTCTCCTGCCTCAGTCTCCTGAGTAGCTGGGATTACAGGCTTGCACAACCATGCTTGGCTAATTTTTGTATTCTTGGGAGAGACGGGTTTTCACCATGTTGGCCAGGCTGGTCACGAACTCCTGACCTCAAGTGATCTGCCCACCTCAGCCTCCCAAAGTGCTGGGATTATAGGCATGAGCCACCGCACCCGCCATTGTCTGCACTTTTTGAAAAGGGAATTGAGCCTCACTCATCTTATCCCTTTTCTTCTAATTGTTTCAGAAAGTACCTACCAACTTGTTTAAATGCAGCCAGATCAGGGAGACAGAAAGAATAATTCAGCCTTCCTGTTGCTGTAGGAAGAGTCTAATTATCCTGGGAGGATCTGGACCTTTAAAAAGGATGCTCTGTGGCTTAATGAAAGAATTCAAATTCAAATGGGAGCACCAAATGCAAGTCAGCAGGCATCTATGTCTGTGCCAATTATTCAGTTCTAAATAGCTAGACCAGGCAGTGTTTGTTGCAGGTTGGCCGAGATGCCTGAGTGGAAGACTGGCAGTCTGGCTTGATACCAATGCTCCTGAGCTCATTTTGGTCCCCATGTAATGGGAGTTGGCATTCAGCACACTCCAGAACGCAGGGGATGATGCCCCACTGGTGACCCTTCACACTCAAGGCTAGGACTGGCCTCCCATGGAGATTCCTGCCAAACTAGAGAGATAAAAGCCTGGAGCTCTGGAGCAGACAGACCAGTGTGTAGATCTTCAGTGTGATCATAGAGTCTGAAGGAGACTCAGACCTAATTAATCACCTTTAAAGGGGCATCCAAATTTATTAATAATGTATACATGAAGAGTTTTCTGTTTTGATCAAGGCAAGTATGAAATACTTAGAAGCTTATAATCCTTATTATATGACACTCTGGTCTGTTTGTGAAACTTTCATCTGAAGCTCTCAAAATACTTAATGGCTGATGCTTATTAATCATAATGTCATATGCTTGGGCAGAAATTTTCCTTGCGGGCTCCATGTCCTCACAATGCCCTGGCTAGAAAGCTCTAGAACTCTTGGATCCTGCCTTGTAGTCGAGAAACAAGGGTTAGAGGGCTTACTAGAGTGTGAAGATAAGTAGAAATTTCACACTTTTCTGGCTATCTCTTCAGGGTGTCTAAGGGGACGCTGCCATGAGCAAAAATCCCCCCACAGATCAAGATGGGGCATGCCTTTTGTCTGCTATGGGTCAAGCTCCCAAATTTTGGAGACAAATAGACTAGATCACACCCATTATTTTCGTCTATTTGTCATTTGAGGTTTGAAAAGGCATCTGTAGGATCTAGAGAATGGAAGGCCAAACTAAGAGAAGAGAAGGAAGTTTGTTGAATACCTTTTTTAGCCCCTACAGTCTAACAGAAGAGAATATGAGGGAATCAGGGCTTTGTGGGACCTCTTATCAGAAAGAGAATAGGGAAAAGATAAAGTTAGATCCCTGACTCACTCTGTGATGGCAATTTTGTGTGTCAACTTGGCTAGGCCACTATATCTAGCTCTTTGGTCAAATACCAGTCAAGAGATCTCTGTGAAGATATTTCTAAGATGAAATTAACATTTATATCAGTAGACTTCGAGTAAAGCAGATTACCCTCCATAAACTGGGTGGGCCTTGTCCAATCAGTTGAAGGCGTTAAGATTATGAAAAATTGAGGTCTCCTGAGAAAAAGAGAATACTGCCTCTGAACTTCCTCCTCCTCCTCCTCCCCCTCCTTCTCCCCCTCCCCCTCCTCCTCCTCCTCCTCCTTTTTTCTTCCTCTTCTTTTTTTTTTTTTTTTTTTGAGACAGGGTGTCTGTTGCCCAGGCTGGAGTGCAGTGGCACAGTCCCATGGCAACTTTTGCCACCTGGGCTCAAGTCATCCTCTGGCCTCAGCCTCTCGAGTAGCTGGGTCTATAGGCACACCACCACCATGCCTGGCTAATTTTTGTATTTTTTGTAGAGACTGGGCTTCACCATGTTCCCCAGGCTGGTCCTAAACTCCTGGACTCAAATGATCTGCCTGCCTCAGCCTCCCAAAGTGCTGGGATTACAGGCATGAGCCGTTCACCCCAGACTCCTTCTGACCCAAGCTACAACATTGATTCTTCCCTGGGTCTCCAGCCTGCCACCTGCTCTGCAGACTTTGAATTTGCCAGTCACACAACTGGCTCAATTCCTAAAATCTCTCTCTCCCTCTCTCCTCTCTCTCTCTCTCCGTATACATATCTTATTGGTTCTGTTTTTCTGGAGATCACTAACATGCAACATCATATATCAGAATAAATTGAAATGGATTAAGGAATTAAATATAAACAAATAAAAAGATAAAAGTACTAGAAGGAAATACTAACAAATATCTTGATAGGGAGTGAAGAGGGAGTGAAGGTCTTTTTAGAAAATGTCACCATAGACAGAAACCAGAAAGAGGAACACAAACAGATTTACCATGAAAATTCTATTTCTTCTAAATATCCAAAAGTACCATAAGCATATAAAAATGCAAATGACAAACTGAAGAAAATTCTCAATCTATGTATCAGACTAAAAGTGAATATATTGAGTATGCAAAGAACTGTTAAAGAATAAAACAAGCTCACCATCCTAACTTTTAAAAATGGGCAAGAACAAGAAAGTGATAAAATAAAAACAAGTGACCAACAAATATGTGGAAACTTACTTAGTAGCAAAGAAATGCAAATACAAACAAGATGTAATTGTTGCATCTTTTGCCTATCAAAAACTTAAAAGCATGCTAATATGCAATGTTAGCAATGATGTGGCAGAAGGGCCAATGTTGATGAGGTAGAAATTAGTATACCTTGATTTAGAGCTCCTTCAACTTCTATGCCTAGGTTTAACGTTGGACAAATGTGCAAAGATATTTATGCAAGTATGCTAACCCATGCAATAGTTATAACAGCATACAATTGAAAACAACCTGAATGTCCATCCATCTGGTCTTAGATAAATTATTTTAAGTCAATATAATTCAGATAATTAATATGGGCTTGTGAGTTGTATTTATTTATCCAGGCGGGTGCCCATTATTTATTAAAGAAAAACAGCAGTTACAAAAATATATGAACAGCTGGGTGCGGTATCTCAAGCCTATAATCCTAGCACTTTGGGAGGCTGAGGTGGGCGGATCACCTGAGGTCAGGAGTTTGAGACCAGCCTGACCAACATGGTGAAACCTCTTCTGTACAAAAATACAAAATTTAGCTGGGTGTGTTGGTGTGTGCCTGTAATCCCAGCTACTCGGGAGGCTGAGGCAGGAGAATCGCTTGAACCTGGGAAGGAGAGTTTGCAGTGAGCCGAGACCACACCATTGCACTCCAGCCTGGGCAACAAGAGTGAAACTCTATCTCAAAAAAAAAAAAAAAAATTATGTATATGTATATATATATATATATATATATATATATGTATATATATATGTATATATATACGTATATATATGTGTATATATATGTATATATATATGTATATATATATGTATATATATATGTGTATATATATATATGTATATATATATATATATGAACAGTAAAATCCCAGTTTTGCAAAATATATGATTTATATATGGGCATAATCTAACATTTTGAGTAGAAGAAAGCCTGGAAAGAAATAACACCAAAATGTTAACAATGGTGGGTGAACAAGTTATAGAGGACTTTAATTTGAATTTCAATTTGAGTGTGGGTATGTGGTAGGGAATGAGGAATGTTATCTGGAATTTTCTACTACAACCCTATGTTAAAAAGGTTATTTTTCTTCTTCTTCTTTTCTTTTTTTTTTGGAGACGGAGTCTCGCTCTGTCACCCAGGCTGGAGTTCAGTGGCACGATCTTGGCTCACTGCAACTTTCACCTCCTGGGTTCAAGCGATTCTCCTGCCTCAGCCTCCCAAGTAACTGGGACTAAAGGCACCCGCCACCAGGACAGGCTAATTTTTGTATTTTTAGTAGAGACGAGGTTTCACCATGTTGGCCAGGCTGGTTTCAAACTCCTGACCTCAGGTGGTCCGCCTGCCTCGGCCTCCCAAAGTGCTGGGATTACAGGCGTGAGTCACTGCACCTGGCCTTTTCTTCTTATTTTTTAGAGTACAACACGTGTGGGGTGGAGGAAGCAGCAAAGTGGGGGTGGGGTGCAACAGTAGAATTAGGGAACAAAAATTAGGGACAGTAATTTTGAGAATGTTGTAAGAGTTTAGAAACCTCTGTTCTGGTCTCATCTTTGTGATTTTTTGCCATCCTTCCATTTCCCTGACTTCATTAGAAGTAATAGTTAGGGGAAAAGGGACTTATCTGGGGGGAGCAGAAAATCAGAAGCAAAGGAGACTGCATCCTGTTCCATAACCTGTCTGACAGAGGTGAGAGTGGGAGCAGCACAAAAGAAGGGGTATAGAATCTGTAGACAGAGTAGAAAGCAGATGATCCCTGGGCCACAAGGAGGAGGGAAGGGGCTGTGCCCGATTAGGGAGGAATGGCTGCCCTAGAGGATGTGTTTTGTCCCCACCAAACTCAAGAGAGTTCAATTGCCAGTGTGGCAGTGTTGGGAGGTGGGGCTAGGGGGAGGTGCTTGGGTCATGGGGTTGGATTCTTCATGAATAGATTAAAGCCATCTTGTCTCTTGGGAGTGAGTACTCACTCCTGAGACTAGATTAGGTCCCTGGAAAGCGGGCTGTTATAAAACAAGGTTCCTCCTTATGTTTGGTCCTTTTGGCATGCTTGCTTCCCCTTCACATCTCCACCATGTTATGATGTAACATGAAGCCCTCACCAGAAGCCAAGCAGATGCTAGCACTGTGCCCTTGGACTTTCCAGCCACTAGAATTGTGAGAAAAACAAAAAACAAAAAACTCTTTCTTTATATATTACCCAGCCTCAGGTATACTGTTACAGCACCATATAGTACCACTAAATGAACTAAGAGAGTCCCGTATACATATCTCCAGATTTTTTTAAAACCACTGCCTACTCTAGTCATAAAAACCCAGCAGCCCTGCAAGTGCCTCACAAGTAGAAAATTAAAGAATTATTTTCTGGAGAAACTATTCCCAGGTGAAAAGCTTCTATATACTGACACTCCCTATGAAGAAAGGCAGTTTGCTCATTCAACAAGCTATCCATGCAAACATAGCTTCCATCAGCTTTTTGGTGCTTCATCATTAACCACGAATGGACAAGCAGGCATCACCAAATATATAAGGAAAGTCTCCAACGTTAAAGAGAGAGACCAAAACCAAGTAGATGGAGCGAAAGGCAACATATGGAGCAATACCTACAAAGTGTAGAATTAAAATTCTCCACAAGGTAAGAGAAGATATTGTATACCTTAAACAAGAGCAGAGTGCTATGCTTTTTAAGAAGAGGTGCTACCAGAGAACAAAATAGAATTCATAGAAATAACATATGTATATATATGAGATAACTGTTAGTTTGAGGCATTTCCTTGACTATCCACACATTCAGTGATTCTCTAGAAAGACTCAGGACTCAGAGACAGTTGTAATCATGGCTCTTGTTTATTACAACAAAAGAACACACAGGATCAACAAGGGAAAAACACGTCAGGCAGAGTCTGGACAAGTCCAGCACAGGCTTCCAAAGTTTTTCCTCTGGGTGGAGCAGTGGTTATCTCACATAACACACTGAAGCAGTTAAATGCAGGGACACATATGCAGTGTTTCTACCCAGGTAAGACCATTTAAGACTCAGAATCCGGGGTTTTTGATGCTGGTCATTCAAGTATTCTCTGCCTGTGCAACCAGCCACGTTACCAAAGTTCCATACCCTCAGAAGGAAAGCAGGTGTTCATCATAAATCATGTTATTTGCATATGCACTCTAGGCAGGCTGGTACAGAATGCAGGCACAAAAACAACCCTATCACTTCAAAGCTTAGGGAACATACCAGAGGCCAAGTTCTCAGGGGCCATCTCCCAAACCTCCTAGAGATAGCAATATTAGGCCTGCTATGTTAACTGTTTCCTGCAGACTGAAATGGAGAATTTGATAGAAAATATGAAAGATAAAATTGAAATCTTTTAGAGAGAAGGGTGGAAAAGAAGACATAGAAAAGAAACTATAAAAATGATAAGAAAATTTGGGAATCAATTTAGGAAGTCTGACATCCAGGAAAAGCAAACTGAAAAAATACATGGAAGGAAAATATAAAAGATGCCACAGAAAAAAAAATTCCAAAACTGAAGGACAAGAGTTTCCAGACTGAAAGAGCCCATTAACAACCCAACACAATGAATTTAAAAAGGTCCAACCCAGGCACCCTCTTATTAAGCTTTGCAGTACGAGGACTAAAGATGACTCTAAAAGTGTCAAAAGAGGGAAAAACAGGCCCCACGTGCTCCAGTAACAAGAAATGGCATTAGGTTTCTCAATAAAAACTCCAGCACTTAGTGAAGTAGTACCTTTAAAATTTTAAGGGAAAATGATTTTAAACACTGAT